>NC_000006.12:1878181-2029696 GCF_000001405.40 Homo sapiens
GCGGGCACCTGTAGTCCCAGCTACTTGGGAGGCTGAGGCAGGAGAACGGCATGAACCTGGGAGGCGGAGCTTGCAGTGAGCCGAGATTGCACCACTGCACTCCAGCCTGGGTGACAGAGCGAGAATCCATCTCAAAAAAAAAAAAAAAAAAAAAAAAGTTATCCAGGCAAAACAATCGATGTGAAAATATTCCCCAAAGACATCCTTCCAGTTTTACAACTATGGGTCTTCCAAAAGATTCTAGGAGATGTTAGCCCTCAGAAATGCTGACAACCAAAGGGGGATTCTTGGCTCTACGGATGTGCCCAAAGTGTACAGACACAGACATGTGACATCACAGACATGCGACATTCATTCCGGTGGGGCAGGCTCAGACACTTCTGCTGGCCATGCGGGAATCTGCTTGTGTGGAAAAAAGAAAGTAACATTTACAGAAGTGTGAGGTGCAAAATGCAAATGTACATGTTAATACCTGACAGCAATTATTTAATACCTAAAAATATTAATTATCAGTAAATATAAATATGAAGTATAAATGAATAGAGTGTATTTTCTATAGTATATAGTACAGTAAGTGATTGGATATACAGAAAATAACACTTAAGAATATCATTTAAAAGACTCTAAAAGGGTGAAGATTTTCCCAGCAGATACATACTGAAAAAAGCAAATGACAGAAAGCAGGGTTTGAAAGAGCCCCAGCCTTTTCTAAATATACCTGGGCCCTGAGCTATCATCAGCCTCACCACTGGTGATTATACTTGGTTTCTGCAAGCATGTTTCTTTGTTACACAGTGGGCCCAGTGAAGGCAGAGGCTCTGCTGTATTCATCCTGTTGTCCATCCCCAGAGTGAAAAAACAGTTTCACCTAATGGCTGGTATTTTTCAAATAGTTGCTAAATAAATGATTATACAAAGTTGCGATAAAGATTAAAAAGAAGAATTCAAGAATTATTTCCCAAATTTCATTACAGACATGGAAAATAAAGTAATTATCTGGTTATTTTCTATTTAAACAAAATTAAAATTAAGTAAAAATTAAAATTGGGTATAAAATACAGCAAAATATTTACATACAAGTGAGGAGGACTTGAGCACAAGAAGAAAAAACATTAAATACGCTACTAAGAAAGGTGGTGGAATTTATCAGCATTCTCAGAAACCTTTGAAATAAATGCACCCCTCGCATAGGGTGAATATTCACCTGCTAAGGAGTCAAGCTTGCTGGGTGAGTAAACTTCAAGTGACTTCAGAGCCCCTATGGGCCAATGAGCCAATATGGGCACTTTTATACTAAATAAAACAGAATTATAAGCCAATATAGGCATTTTTATGTTAAGCTAAAAACTAAATATTTCTTGAAGACAGAAACCTATTCTTATTTCTTATTATGTTACCAAAGGTTTTTTTTTTTTTAAAGAATATTGAGATAGAGAGAAGTGCCTTTCACTATAGATTTTCTGATTTTTACTCCTCTGTGTTAAAGCAGTATTGAAATCTGTAGTACTGGGTGGTAATCATGCTAACAGAATAATCCACTGACTCTTTTCAGATTAACCAACTCAGACATCTGTTGTATTTCTAAAGCATCTCTAAAAACTTTCCTCACATATAGTGAGATCTGATCTCGATATCGTGTATGAGACCTCAGAGATAGTACAGCCTTTCTAGGATGATAACATTTTTGAACCCTGATACTGTATTTAAGGGTATAAGAGGCACGACCTACACTGCAAGAACACATGACCTCGTCTTACATATGAGATGTTAAGGGAAATTAACAAAGATGATAGGAGAGACAATAAACTGATTTTATTATTCAACGTATATCTGAGTTGATTTGGGAGAAGAATGAATAATGATAAATGATGATGAATATTTCTTAAATAGAGTTTCTATTACAGGAGTAGAAAGGCACACAGTAAAAATAAAAAGAAGAGGAAGGTAAAGTCACAAAAGTATTTTACTGTTATAAAAATTTTTAGGCTGGGCACAGTGGCTCACACCTGTAATCCCAGCACTTTGGGAGGCTGAGATGGGAGGACTGCTTGAAGCCAGGAGTTTAAGACCAGCCTGAACAATGAAACGAGACCTCATTTCCACAAAAAAAAAAAAAAAAAAAAAAAAATCACCAGGTGTGGTGGTGCACGTTTGTTGCCCCAGCTACTCAGGAGGTTGAGGTGGAAGGACTTCTTGAGCCCAGGCATTTGAGGGTGAGGAGGCCCTGATCGTGCCACTGAACTCCAGCCTGGGTGACACAGCAAGATTTTGTCTCTAAAACAACAACGACAAAGAAATTTTTAAAAATGTAAGTGAGCTACGTTGAGGGCTTACTACTCTTGTTTAACTCAACACTGCTGAGCACTCTTCCTTTCCCTAACACTGTAAGTTTACTGCTTTGGTTCCTAGCCATTGTGGTTAACATCCAAATAGCTGCTAGAGTTGGTATTTCTGCCAGGGTAACCAGCAAGTATACACTTCCATGCTACCTTTCACTGTGAAAGCAGACGAGCAATATAGTTGACCCTAATATTTTCCTAATTCTAACTAACCTCCATTAATATACTTCAAAACTCTTTAGAAACAAAGATAACTTCAGCAGCAGAAACAATGGCCTTATGTTCCAACAATGGCCAGCTGGAAATGTCAAACACTGCCTACCCATTATAATATCTCCACCTGTATTTAGGTAATCACTGAAATGAATATCACTACTAGATAGACAGGTACTTAGTAGAAAAATTAAACTAGAAAGAAGGGTATGAATTGTTGATGAAATATTAAAGTAGAAATCCAGGATAAAGAAACAAAAGAAGAAAATCCTAGTATCTTAAAAATAATAGACTGCACCAAAAGTAAGATCATTCCAGCACTGCGTTTCTGAGATGAAGAGAAAATGTTAGAAAAAGGTATTTTTCTATCATCAGTAAAAAAGACATTCAACTATTAATTTAAAAACAGGCAGGAGGGAAGTGGGGGCACCGATAAATTTAAAAGACCAAACACAATTAGAAAAGCAGCCTTTCCTGCAGAAATGGAACAAGTGATACAGACAATAAACTTGGAATGTATACTGAGAACATGGGAGAAACAAATGAGCAGACAAAATCAAATAGGAGAAAGTATAATATTTCACACTATATTTTAACCCATTTGTAGCCAAGCTTGAAGAATCTAACTTACAAGATTCCTCTCCCCCAAAAAATCATTAAAAGATTAAAAAGAAAGAAAGATTGAAAATTAAGATGACTTACTTTCTAGGAAAAAAGGAGCTGAATATAGGTTTAAGGATTTTGAACTGCCTAAAGCATGTCACCATAAATCTGTCATGCAGCCTTGTAAGAGCATTACTGATGTAGTCAAAATAAGTGAATCTGAAGAAATAATGTGTTCTATTTTAAACTGCAAAGATGTGGTTAAAGTACAAGGCAGGTATACGAGGCAAATCAATCCACACACAAAAAAATGTTCTGTTTTCAGCAAACTTCTCATCTCTCATTCCAGTTTTTCAATGGGACTCCTCTAATTCTCATCCCAGAAATCCAACTGAGTTGACTGGAAATAACAAGATTCGGATTACTCAAATGACCAAGAGCATCTACTTTCCTGCAAGATGCACAGCAGGATGAAGCAAAAGACATCACTCAAGATCTGGCAAGATGACCAACAGTCAGCGAGAGATCTGGTAAGAATTACCATTAGAAGGAGGCAGACAAAACCTTCCAGAACCACAGACAGCAGTAAGATTCAAAGTCTCACAAGCTACAGTAAAACTCACAGAGTTTTTCCAAGACAAGGTCCTATGTCACCAATTCTTGGTCCACAAAAGATAATCTAAGTGATTATTTTTAAATACACATGTAAGTAGGTTTATTTCTGGTGAGTATTTTATTTTTAGAACTTCTTTTCTAAATCAATGAAGGAAGGCATGGGCTTAAAAAACATGGTGTGGTATTTTCAAACTGGAACATACAGTTTATGCTGTCTAAATTAAGCATATTTAGCAGGCATCTGGGGTCTGAGAATTCTTCATAGCCCTTGGTCCCTCAGAGCTGGAGGCAGAGAAAACTGACATACAATACTCTCAGTGTACTGCACCAAAGAGCTATTTAATTGGCTTTTTAAAATGGATATATAATATTGCTTAGAAATGCAAATATTGGTTAAAATTCCCAGTTTAGTTGAGCATGCACAAGGATATATGCGTGTGTGTACATAAGTACAACTGTATACACTCAAATATGAATAAATGGCTAGAATGAAATAAACCAAAGTGTAATGAGAGGTGCTCTTAGAATAGTATGACAAGTTAATTACAAGATTCCATATTTTGCAATTAGAATAATCATGACACAGAATCAATTAAACAGAAGAGAGAGAAATAATTAACGAAGGACTTTGCATAGGGAGTTAAGAAAGAAAAAAGAAAAAAATCCAATCTTAAGAACTCAACGTCATAAGCAGTGTCTAGCAGAGGGTCAGTGAGCAAAAGGATCCAAACACAATTATTACTGCTGATTATCTAATAAGCACTAATGTGGCCACAGACAGGATATTTAAATTCCACATCATATTGTCTTGAAGTCATTATCTAATGGATTTATAAGGATAAGGCAACATGACATAATAGAAAACTCATGGGTTATCCAAGTTCAGAATTCCCCGGTCTTTATAACTTTTAGGCTTAGCTCCAGGTTTTTCCTTTGGTAAAACAGAACAAATCTCTATCACGAGTGATTGTTGTGAGGATTAGAAGAAACTGTGTATGTAATCTAGCTTGGTTCCTCATAGGAACTCATATCATGGTAGGTATGCTGGCAGTACTAGCATGAGCCATTTCCTAGAGAAAAGGATTACTCTTTTTGCATATGTACAATTTGTGGCATTAAAAACAAATATATAAGTAGGACTTTGATTTCTTTAAAAATATAATTTTATGGGCCGGGTGCGGTGGCAATCCCAGCACTTTGGGAGGCTGAGGCAGAAGAATCACGAGGTCAAGAGATCCAGACCATCCTGGCCAACTTAGTGAAACCCCATCTCTACTAAAAATACAAAAATTAGCTGGGTGTGGTGAGGCACGCCTACAATCCCAGCTACTCGGGAGGCTGAGGCAGGAGAATTGCTTAACCCTAGGAGGCGGAGGCTGCAGTGAGCCAAGATCGTGCCACTGCACTCCAGCCTAATGACAAAGCGAGACTCCATCTCAAAAAAAATAAAATAAAATGATAATAATAATTTTATGGAAATCACAATTGTCCATTTATCTTTTTTATACATTGATTAATGGATTTTTAAAAATTAAACAAATTAAATACCTTAAAGACAATTTGAATAAAAAGAACCTTCCACATATATTATAAAATCATAGATTTTAAAAGCTAGAAATACTCTCAGATACATGAGCTCACTCTAAAACCCTGTTTTGCTGAAAAAAATCTAGGTAAGTCTAATTTTCACACACATACATATTTAAGGAGCAGACACAGCACTACAAGTCAGCTCCCCTCGTACTGAAAGACATTTCCTCCTACTTAAAAATGTACAAATTATTTTGTGTGCTGAGCCAAGCAATGAAAAAGCTTCACCATTAAAACATGAATATTTAAATTTTAACATTTAAATATATCTAAAAGGAATTTTGACCCCATATACTTTGTTTCAGTATTAACCAAATAAAGGGCATAAACTCAAACACATTATTACACATTTATTTAATCAAAACTAGGCATTTCCCAATCATTACAAAATTTATTACCTAGTTTTAATCCCAGTTCATTTAGAATAGATGGACAGAACATGGCCATCTATATAATATTTATTATACAATTTTTAACTAGTAAAGATTTTGATTTAATGTAATTACAATCAGAGCGAGAGCCTCAATGTAAGGAAAAGGAGCCACAATTAAACCACATATAGGAACCTGAAATAGTCATTTCCTTTCTCCCCATATATCTTACTTTTCTACCAAATGGTCCCAAGTACCCAATCAAATATCTATGTGAAAAGCAGATCAATACAACCATTCATTAAACTTATACAGTTGAGAACTTCCCTTGGGAGAATTATCCAAAGACCAAAACACTGCCAACAAAGGAAAATATGATATAAGAGGGCAATTTATATTTAACTCAAATGATCACACTTAATAAAAAGCACAAATCCCAGAGTTCTAAGGGGAGGAAATGATGTAGCGTTAACCAGGGAAAGTCTACAAATAGGACTGGTGGTCAGCTATGTCTTCACCAAAGTGGCATTTTTGCCAACAAGACTCTTGGCAGCCCTTAAGGGGCTAAGCTAGCACAATTGACCAAATATGGTGGGGAATGTGAAAACTTCGCAGATATTAGCATTTATTTTTGAGGCTAACATAACACAGTCCACAGGCCTGCCATCAGAGCCTGCAGCCATTAAGTGATAACTGAAGCAGTGGAATGCAAATAATCCATTGGTTCACATTAGTGTCATGCTCATTTGTAAATGTTCCCAGTCCTCTTCTGGCCCTTAGGGTACCTCACTTGCATTTTAGGGGCAAAACCCATGGGCAGTATATTTAAAAAGGAGTTAAATTATGAGCACACCAGTTAGCAATGATTTACTCATTAAAAAGTGCATTAGGCTACGGTGCCCTGAGCTGCGCGACCTCATAGCTGATCACTTCTAAAATGCTTGAATAGACATTATTTATCTACTGGCAGTGGCCCAAGATTTATCTATTTCAGTCACAAAGTTCTATCATTTATCTATACGCTCCCTAACTCAATGTTAAATTTTGAAATGGTGATTTAACTATAGGAGGAAACTACATTGAAATGAGTGAAAAATGAATGTAGCACTCTGATAAAACAGGAGATATTTAAGCAATCTGGCACCTCTCCTCTGAGATGTTAAAAGGATGTTTTAAGTAATTTATGAATTTAAGGGGATAAAGCCCTCGTTATGGAGAAACAAGGTCAGAAGTCTCAGAGCACTTGACCCAGAGATGCCATTTTGGACTCCTGATTCTGGAAAAGAGTAAAACTCTGTAATTTATTAGAAAAGCCTGCATGGAAATTAATTTACAGCCTAGTTATCTCCATGTTACAGAGATAAATATAATTATTTCTCATTTTGAAGTTGAAAAAGAAAAGCTATCTTAGAATAAGTGGATTCTCCCCCTTACTCTCTGGTTCTGCTTGTTTATCTTTATCATATATCAAATTAATGTGCCACAAATACCAGTGAAGAAGTGAAATGTTTAATCTGAACTTTATTTCACTTTCTCACACCAAGGAAGAGTAGGAGAAACCATGGGAGGGATATATCTAAACCGACATTGGCTGGAGACTACAAAGGCAAAGAACGAAGTGTTTTCATAGTGCTAAGACACTATGCTTTAGTTTATAAAGATCACAGTGGAAAGTGACGTGACAAGGTCGTGACTGTTCCTTGGTCTCCGAGGTTGCCTAAGTATTAGAGGGCAGAGTCCACCTTGTCAGTCTGTGGGCTGCCCGCTTCCCACGTTTAAGTGTCTGATGTTACCATCTACTTGCTATTCCCTACGGGACATCGCTCCTCCTCTGGTATGGAACGTGAAGACCACAAACCTTGTTTAAACTACTGCAGTGGCAGGCTGGCCTGGGATACCATGCTGCATCCAGCCGCAGGCAGAGGGGCCAATTTTACCCTTTCCTCTTGTTCCACAGCTCAAAACAAAGGAGTCTTCTGAACTCACCAGGCTGCACTGACACAGACTGAGTGGTTCCCAGACCGCTCTGATTACTGCTGTCTGTAGAAACGTGAAGGGCAGGGTAAAGTAAAGTGACTGAGCCGGGAATCACAGCATGCTATTCAATCTGAATGTTTCTGTAATTCATAAAAAATTTCCTGCTTGGTCATTTGTCTGAGAAAAGAAGAAAAGTTATGATTTTCCTCCTCCCGTCCTCCCAAAAGGTAAAAGCAATGCCAAGAATGTCCTCTTAAAATATAACATTAATTTCCAACTTGAAGAACTTAGCATACTTCCATCAAGTTCAATCTCCATTAGAAATCCACTGGGCATATACTTTTAGGACCTATCAAATCATTCTTTCTCAGTTGTGTAATTCTGTCGGAATTTTACTCTAACAACTAAATATCAATAAAAAATGAGAATGACCAGAAATGACACAAATTTTATTCTGTGATAAATCAAAAAATGTCACATATCATAGATGGAAATAAAACATAAATTAGAGACCCAGTTGTTGTGAATGCAAGTAGATTTTATATTATTAAGACATTTCATTTACAGGGGCCTATAAATCTAATAGTTACTTTATTAGCAGCATTCTCAATAAAAAATAGACTACTAGAATTACTAATAGCATTCTCAATAAAAAATAGACTGTAAGTGTATCTTACTGAGCAGTTTTGTAAGGAACAATGACCACCTTACTTATTTAATTTTAATAATTACACTGATTTTTTTAAATCAAGAATAAAAACAATATTTATCTTATATTTATCAACACCAGTGACTCAGGGAACAAACACTAAAGTTTCTGTGTCAGAGGTAATAATGTCTGGTTATTATAATAAGAATTAGATTTGACTCTTTCAGCAAATATTAAACTTTTTTTCCAGCAGCTCCAGGCTTTAATTTGAAAAATGATTAAATTAGTAGAACTCATTCTTATTGGTTAGCTCTCACTAACAATTGGCAGATTTTTTCTTATTTGCTCTTAGCATTTTTACTCTGAGTAGTAAAAGTGGTGGCAACTGCTGCTACTACTTTCAATTGCTGAGCAAACTTACAGATGTGCCAGGCTCTGCACTTATACAGATGTTCTCATTTATTCATCTTCACCACCACATGACATAAATACTTCTATCAGATCCATTTCACAGATGAGAAAACAGACATGTAGAGAGGGTAAGCAACTTGTCTTGGATTCAAACCCATGAAAGTCTGTTGTAGGGCCCTGTTCTTTACCACTTAGCAGCTATATATATTATTCAATAATACCTTTTTGATAATCTTAATAAAAACCTTGCAAGTAGATATCATTACCACTTTAGAGATGACAACGCATACTTGGAGAGGTTTACAAAATTTTGCCAAAGCTGGTAAAAGGCAGTGCTGGCTTCTGAGCTCAGGGTACCAGGAGGGATCTTACAAAGACTCCAGGTGTTAGAAGGCCATAGATTTGGAAACACTTTACAAAACTGCAAGTTATCAACGTTTCTAGGTATATTTTTGATTAAGTAAAAAAACCCCAAATTTACACCGAACATATTTATGTTCGGCTACCTCCAAAACAGGAAGAAAGAGCTATGAAGGTGAGAATGAGGTACCACGTGTTTATAATAACTGGATCCAGAGTTTTATTCTGTTATGAATTTTCTTCTGCTCTGCCTTCATTATCAATCATCCTTCTCTACCGGTTCCTTTCCTTCTGCCTTTAAATCTTAAGATTTGCTCTTCTAAACAATGTCATTGTCATTAGCAAAAACAAAACCTTTCTTCAACCCTCAGCAATTTATTTTCTTCTTCCTCCCAAATTACTTAAAAACTACTCCATACAGGTATTCTTCAGTATTTACAGAGGATCGGTTCCAGGACCTCCTGCAGATACAAAAATCCAAGGATGCTCAACTCCCTTATGTGAAATGGTATAGTAATTGCATATAACCTACATGCATTCTCCTATATACCTTAAATCATCTCTAGATTACCCATAATACTAAATACAATGTAGATGTTATATAAATAGTTGCACTGTATTTTTAGTTTTTAGGTTTTTTTGTTTTGTTTTGTTTTGTTTTGAGACAGAGGCTCTGTGGCCTAGCCTGGAGTGTAACGGTGCAATCATGGCTGTCTGCAGCCTTGACCGCCTGGGCTAAAATGATCCTCCCACCTCAGCCCACCAAGTACCTGAGACTACAGGGATGTGCCACCATTCCTGGCTATTTTTTTATTATTATTATTATTTTTTTTTTTTTTTTGAAGAGATGAGGGTCTTGCTGTGTTGCCCAGGCTGGTCTCAAACTCCTGGGCTCAAGCTATCCTCCCCATATTAGTATGTTTTCACACTGCTATAATTACTAAGACTGGGTAATTTATAATGGAAAGAGGTTTAATCAACTCACAGTTCAGCAAGGCTGGGGAGGCCTCAGGAAACTTATAATCATGGTGGAAGGTGAAGGGGAAGCAAGGCACCTTCTTCATAAGGCGGCAGGAAGGACAATGCCAGAGGAATGACCAGACACTTATAAAACCATCAGATCTCGTGAGAACTCACTCACTATCGAAAGAACACCATGGGGGAAACGACCCCCATCATCCAGTTACCTCCACCTGGTCTCTCTCTTACACGAGGGGATTATGGGGATTATAATTCAAGATGAGATTTGGGTGGGAACACAAAGCCTAACCATATCATTCTGCCCCTGGTCTCTCCCAAATCTCAGGTCCCTTTCACATTTCAGAACCAATCATGCCTTCCCAACAATCCCCCAAAGTCTTAATTCATTCCAGCATTAACCCAAAAGTCCAAGTCCAAAGTCTCATATGAGACAAGGCAAGTCCCTTCTGCCTAGAAGCCTGCAAAATCTAAAGCAAGTTAGTTACTGCCAAGATGCAATGAGGGTACAGGCATTGGGTAAATGTTCCCATTCTAAATGGGAGAAATTGGCCAAAACAAAGGGGACACAGGTCCCATTCAAGTCTGAAATCAGCTGGGTGGTCATTAAGCCTTAATGTTCCAAAATAATCTCCTTTGACGTCATGTCTCACATCAAGGTCACACTAATGCAAGAGGTGGGCCCCCATGGCCTTGGGTACTCCCAACTAGGCCTCCCAAAGGAGGGCTGGGATTATAGGTATGAACCACTGCACCTGGTCAGTATTTAAAAATATATATGTATATATTTTGCTGTATTGTTATTTTTTATTGTAGAATCCATGGATGCGGAACGTGTAAAAACAAAGGGCTGACTATGCTACTTTCCTTAAGCCTTCACTCATTCTCCACACACTCATTAAAACTTTGTATGTGGCTTCCACCTCCACTGGATCTATATGAAAAACAGCGACCTCCCAAACATCAAACTCAGTGGCTCGTTGAGTCATTCCATAGCATTTCCCTTTGTGACTGCCCATTCTGTAAACCTGCCTCTCTTCCTTCACTTTCGTTATTCTGTGCCATCCTGGTTTCTTCCTTATCTCTCAATCATTCTTCTACCTTCTTCTTGGTCCTTAAAAAAAGAGCCGTGCTCCCAGGTTCTGCATTCCAACAACTTCACTGCTCTCCCTCCCTCCACATTCTCCCTGGACAGTTGGTTCACTTCCACGGCTTCGACTACTCTTCCATGCAAGGAACTTCACGTTTCCCTCTGGCACAGACCTCTCTCCCAAGTTCCAAACGTCCACTGGATTTTACCCTGGCATTTATTCTTGGTTTCTTAAGATTTTTACTACTTAAAAAAATCTTCATTGATATATAATTCACATACAAACAGATTGATTTTAGTATACTCAGGGAGTCACACAACCATTACCACGATCTAAGTTTAGAATACTTCATCACCCAAAAAGAAACACTGTACCCATTAGCAGTCGTTCCCCATTTCTGGTACCTAGCCCACGGCAACTACAGTGTACTTTCAGTGTCTATGGATTCTTGTGTTCTGGACATTTCATATAAATGGAATCATATAATATGTTGCCTTTTGGGTCTATCTTCTTTTACTTAGCATAATGTTTTCCAGGTTCATCCACATTGCAGTGTCCATTAGTGCTTTTTATGGTTGAATAATATGACGTATTATGGATGAATTACATTTTATTTATCCATTTATGAATTAATGGACATCATTCTACCAAAAGTTCCACTTTTTGGCTATTGTGAATAATGCTGCCACTAGGATCCCTGTGCAAGTTTTCATGTGGAAGTATGTTTTCATTTATCTTAAATATGTGCCTTTCTTGAACACCGAGAAACTGTCAAACTGCTTTACAAAGTGGCTAAGCTGTCTTACATTATCAATGCACGAGGGTTCCAACATCTCCACGTCATCGCCAATACTTGTTACAGTCTGTCTTTTTTATCACAGCCAGTCTAGTGGGGGTGAAGTGGTATTTCCCTGTGGTTTTGAGCGGCATTTCCTTAATGACTAATGGTGCGGCACATCTTTTCACGTGCATGTCCTTTCATGTCGGCTGAATATTTTCTGTGGGGAAATGTCTATTTAAGTCTTGTGCCTATTTTTAATTAGGCTGTCTTCTTATTCTTGAGTTGTAAGAGTTCTTTATATATTCTGGATACTGGCCCCTTATCAGATATATGACTTGCAAATGTTTTCTCCCATTTGGTAGGCTGCTTTTTTACTTTTTTGATGGTGTGCTATCAGAACAGTTTTTAACTTTGATGGAGTCCATTTTATCTATTTTTTCCATTGTTGCTTGTGCTTTAGGTGTTATATATCTAAGAAGGCTATGTCTAATTAAAGTTCAAGAAGAGTATCTCTCACCTGTGTTTTCAATCAATCAGCCTTGGAAATCTGGAATCTGCCTGTAATGTACCTTTTACCAAAGCCCACAATAAATCCACTTTTAATTAAGCTTTTAACACTTCATATGAATTACTTAAAAATAACAGACACAAATTTAGCAGGGTGGATTAAGGTTCAATGGTGTTTTCAAAAGAAAGTGTTACTATTTTTTACCCCAGCCGTGTCAATGTGAACAGTTGATGCCTCAATTTTAGCACTTACATTTCCAGCTAGGATCCATTTTGAGTTAATTTTTGTGACGTTCCTTCCCCACTGATTTGTCTGGGTACCATTGTTGAAAATCAACCAATTACAAATGTATGGGCTTATATTTTAAAAATCAACCTTATTTTCTTTCACAAAGCCAACTCCTGATTTTTACTGGTATTGCCATCTATTCTCCTGGTCTGATACATAAAGCCATCTTTGATTCGTTCCTTTCCTGTGCCTCCCCCACACAGGCATTAGTCAAACCACGTGGTTTCCATTTCTACAGGTTGTTTTCACTCATCCTTTCCTTTCCATTTTCAGTGTCATTATATCAAATCAAATCCTCACTACTGCTGTCTTCAGAAGGGCTGAGAAATAAATTCATGTCTAAATGGGCATACTGTGCTGTCCAAATCCAACCTACTATACAGCTAGTGGCCAGAGAAGAGGAGTTTAATGTGCTGGGATAAGAAATAAGCTGGTGCTATGAATGGCTGTGTCAGAACAAGAGCCCAGCCCATTCATATTCTAGCCTAATCCCTGAACTTCCAGAGTAGATTATGCTAATTTGGAAAACAGGGGCAGTCCTGGAGGATTCAAAAATTTCCAAGTTATTTAAAAGAAACTGCCAC
The DNA here is from genome assembly GCF_000001405.40 of Homo sapiens. Lineage (NCBI taxonomy): Eukaryota > Metazoa > Chordata > Mammalia > Primates > Hominidae > Homo > Homo sapiens. The sequence goes on from NC_000006.12 coordinate 1,891,540, forward strand.
TTAGTATTAAGTACTTGATCTCCTAATTTAACAAGAGAGGCTAATTTTTAAAACTTGGTTACCACTTCCTTAGTGTTAGGTCAAGAAGAGGACGAACCGCTAGGGCAGTCATTCTTAAAATGTGGGAGCAAGAGTAGCAGCATCAGTATCTCCAGGGAACTTGTTAAAAATGCACATTCGTGGGTCCCACCCAGATCTACTAAATGAGACCTCTGGGAGTGAAGACCAAAATCAGTGTTTTAACAAGACTACCAGGTCATTCCTATGCACACTAGAAGTTTGATAACCACTGAGCTAGAAGACAGATGAGGATCCAGGGCTGAGGTCATATGACAATATCAACACCTCTTCCACATGCTGAAATTGCCAAGGAGGCCACAGAACTCCACAAATCCCATCGACTGTAAACATTCAGTAGTTACGCCATATAAATTGTTAGGATCCATGCTTAACTTCTGAAGGTAGCATAGGCTTTTGAAATTATTCAAAATTTAGTGTTCTCTTAAGAAAAAAACTATAAATAATATACTTGCTTATTTTTATACCACAAATCCCACATAACAGAAACAACATAGTAGAGATGTAAGTAGCACCTATTATTAAAGTATGTTCCTACTTAAATATGACATTTCTTTTCTCTCGGGGGAGACTGAAATATATATCCAAAGAGAAAGCCACAATACACATACAGCTTTTACCTAGAAATATGTCTTCCCTAGACTTGAAATCCATCAGCCTTGGGAATCTGGAATCTGCCTGTCTGTAATGCATTTCAGTAACAAATCTGTTACCAAAACCCACTACCATAAATCCACTTTTAATTAAGCTTTTTTCTTTTTAGATGGAATCTCGCTCTGTTGCCCAGGGTGGAGTGCAGTGGTATGATCTTGGCTCACTGCAACCTCCACTACCCAGGTTCAAGTGATTCTCCCACCTCAGCATCCTGAGTAGCAGGATTACAGGTGCACACCACCATGCCTGGCTAATTTTTGTATTTTTAGTAGAAATGGGGTTTCACCACATTGGTCAGGCTGGTCTCAAACTCCTGACCTCAGGTGATCTACTTGCCTTGGCTCCCAAAGTGCTGAGATTACAGGCATGAGCCACCACACCCAGCCTTAATTAAGCTTTTAACTCCCTATATGAATTACTTAAAAATTAACTATTGGATCTAACAGACAGACACAAATTTATCAGGGTGGCTTTAGGTTCACAGTGTTTGCAAAAAAGAAGGTGTTACCACTTTTTACCCCTAGCTGTGTCAATGGAACAGCCAATGCCTTGGCCTACTGTGACTGGACACGCATTCTGACTTGCAGCTGCAGTTTCCCTTCTTATGGCTGCTCCCAGATAAGACCGCTGCACAGAACCCAGTCCTGGCAACTGCTGCCTGGTCCTCTCCAGCGGCCTGTGCAGAGTTCCACACTAGCTCCTTGTTTATATCAGTCCCGTAATTAAGCCAGGGCCAGGAAGAGAAGTCCCAAAGAGGGCAACGAAAGTGCAAGGCAAAGAACTGGCTTTCGGCTGCAGCTTCCCCATCCACCTCCTTCCCACCTGACCTCAATTTAAGAGAGTGGAAATGGGGGCCCAGCTGGGAAGAAGGAAGGAGCATGAGCAGAGAACAACAGTTTCTCATCTCTGGTTTTTTGTTTTCTTTTTTTTTTTTTTTTTTGAGACGGAGTCTGACTCTGTCACCCAGGCTGGAGTGCAGTGGCGCGATGTCAGCTCACTGAAACCTCCACCTCCCGGGTTCAAGCCATTCTCCTGCCTCTGCCTCCTGAGTAGCTGGGATCACAGGTGCCCACCACCATGCCCAGCTAACTTGTATTTTTAGTAGAGACAGGGTTTCACCATGTTGGCCAGGCTGGTCTCGAACTCCTGACATTAGGTGATCCGCCTGCCTCCCAAAGTGCTGGGATTACAGGTGTGAGCCACTGCACCCGGCCCATCTCTGTTCCCTTACTGCTTTGCTGCCGCAACCTTCTCCATCCTCTTTTTCATTCTCAGTTGCCATTTTGAGCTTTCTTCACAAATTGAATCCTGTTTTCCAAATTGGCCAGTGAAACGTTTTTGCCATGCTGAAGTCATTTCCAGAGCTAAATCGGGAAAGCTGAGGCAGCCAGGCCACCTCCAGCTGGCTGGAATGCAGCTGCAATAAAAGGCAGTGTGAATAAGGTGTATTGAAGCTACACTGGACTCGTGTGAAGGGCCGTTTATTCAGAGGGGGTGGAGGTGAAAGGAGAGAAATTAATGAACAGAAGAAATTAAATTAGCTCAACCACGCCTTTAAAAAATATACTGAAAAATAACCGACCTGCCATGAACCTTTTTACAAAAATGGAGACCTCTGGGTCTGTTCTTTGCCCAGCCCCGCTGGCAGGAGGCGCTCCTGAGTTAGATAAGAAAGAGCCTGGAGGGGCTGAGGAAAATCTGGTTTCTCTTACTGCAGCCAGAAGGATGGAAGGCACAGTTGGGAAAGTCAATATGCAGCTGAGAGACAAGAGGTCACCGGAACTGATGAAAATATTTAATTAACTAATCACAGAACACCTGACACAAAAATAAACATGTCTTTTCATCTTAGCTATCACATTTTTCTTCAACAAAATGAAATCACGACCTATCATGTTCTCAAAAAGTTATTGATCAATTTATGAGCCTAATGCTTTAATTGATTGCAATAATATTTTACTCACACTTCTAATCTGATCTTACTGCCACTCTAAGAAAAGCTATGGGGAATTCCAATGGAAGAATGATGGTGTAGTTACAAGCAAAAAGTCCTTTATACTAGACGTATATTTCATATTTTGTGTTATAGGTATTTATTTTATGTTTTATATTATAGGGGTATTTATTAGGACAGTGTTATGGAAAATTATTCCTTCCTTAAGTAACCACCTAATTTTAATATTAAAACATTTCATAATATTAAAACATTAAGAGAACAATAATGAATACTGGTATTAAATATCTTAAATGCTGTTTAGTGCTTTCTTTACAGTTTCAAAGTGAGAGCACCCGTTTATCTCATTTTCACCTAAATGTGTCTTATTACATAGAGAGTGAGATGTTATACCTATTTTTTAATTTCCACAATCAGATATCCAGTAAGGGAATAAATGTAAATCAAGTACCACAGGATATTTTGTCAAAAGCATTATAGAGAAATGGGATGGTAATACAATCATTTTTTTAAAAAATTCTGTTTTATACAAAAGACTGAGCTCCATGGAGTTTGGAGGTTAAATCTAAAAGTACTCTTAGGTATGGCCCCATTGTCTATAGACACTAAGATTAAAGCAACAGACATTTAGGAAATAGTTATTAGTTGAGGTACGGGATTTTACTTTATTACCTACTGAAAATCTTACCCTCAAAAATCACATCCCCTCAAAGTAAATTCCAGACAAAAGATGTTCTTTTTCCCCCTTTAGGGTCTACAATTTATCAACCGGTTGGATATCTTCTAGAATTACTTTATATTCCTTCCCATTTGAACACAGCACACTCTGAACCTGTTCAAAGGTCAGACAGGATTTAAGAGTCCTTATAAGGCATTGTTGTGGCAGGAGTTGGCACTTGGACTAACTTTATCCGATGGGCAACGAGTTTGGGGAGTGCCTGAGGGTGTGGTACCTGGCTTGCTTGCCCTTCATGATTTTTGATGACTGCCCAGCTAAACCTGCCTTCCGTCCACCATTTACTCATGATGTGACTCAGAACACTAGGGTTTCTTGGAAAGATGAACCGTTTCTCCGCTGCATTTTCTTTTAAACCTTTGTGTTATCTTCCTCTGGTCAAAATGAACTATAGTAAGCTTAACAAAACACTGCCAAGCTATCATGTGTAGTGGGGTCAGCCAAAAAACAGACTTCAGCTATGCATTGCCCACTAAGGTAACCAGTGACCACATATGACCATTTAAGATAATATCAATTAAAATGATACAATTAAAAACTGAGCTCTTCATGTGCATAGGCCACACTCAAGTGCTCAATACACATGTGTGGCCAGGGATACTGTATTGAACAGCACTGATAAAGAACATTTCTATCACTAAAGAATCTTTTATTGAACAGACGTGCTTTACATGATTATTCTTCCCACCTTCTATGTAAACTCTGGTCATTATCAAATAGAAATGTGTAACAAAATGAACATGCACGCCAGTTATGCCCTGTCAGTTTGAAACTAGTATCCTGCCCAATAGGTTTTGTACATAGTTCTCAGTTTACTCACCACTTGGCCCCTCTCTTTGTTTCTAACCAGAACCACCAGATACAGAGACAGATCCAGAGCTGACCTAAGTTTAAAACATAAAGCGGTGAAATATGCCATCAGCTTCTTCTCCTACTCCTTTCTTTCCCTATCCATTCTTCTACTCAACTATTACTTACCGAGCCACAGTGCAGGCACTGAAGCTACAAAGCTGAGTGATTCATCGTTCCTGACCTCCAGGAGCACAATCTAATGAAGAATATGGAAAAGGAAAAAGAGGAATTTCCTAAGGGCTCCAATAAAGGCACAAGCAGATTGGGGGAGCAGAGAGCTTGGCTTGAGGATGATTATGTAAGGGCTGGAGCTAAGGCAGAGTTTCTCAAACTTGGCACTACTGGCCTTTTAGCTTGGACCATTCATTGTTGCCCTGTGTATCGGAGGATGTTCAGCAGCATCCTCGGCCTCAACCCATTAGATATGTGCACTCCCCCTAAAAACTGTCGCCAGACATTGGAAACGTTCCCTGGGGGCAAGATTGCTGCCTTTAGAGAAGCACTGAGCTAAGGCCTTTGGGACATGTTTGTTTATTTACTCCATAACATTCTTGAGGAACTTACTGCAAACAAGTGGTGAGAATAACAAGAGGGAAGGACAAAGTCCTCACACGAAGGACCTCAAAGTCTGGCGGGAACTAGAGTGGACAAATGGGCAAAGGAGAAGGTGACTTCAGAACGTGGGGAAAGCATGTAAGAAAGTATAGACGACTGACAAATCCGGGGAATCTGACAGCGGGGAAGGGGGCTCGGTGCTGGGAGGAGAGGGGGTGTCAGGTGAGGGCCATGTGAGGCAGGACCCATGTGAGGCGGGAGCAGAGTCAGATCATGAAGGTGTTGGTGTGCTGCAGGGGTTGTATCAAAGTTAGATTTCATCGTGAAGAAATCTGAACAAAGGAATACATGGGCAGGATTACCTTCTGGATGGTGGTGTAGACTCTGTCCCATCAAAGTGTGATTGACAAACACAAGTGCCATCAAGCGTCTACACTGCAGACAGACTGACTGGGAGTCTTTTTCCGGTTAAGATAACAAGGTTACAAATCACAGGTGATATAATAGGGATGAACAGGGAGACAGGGATTTGACTGATGTCTCTGGGAAGGACAGGGCTCACTGTTGGTGTTGTAGGGAAGACGAGGGCAGGACTCTAGGCTGATTTCCCAGTTTTGGGGCAAAGACAACAATGTACATGGAGCTCATATCAACAAAGGTGGGAGATTCGGGAGGAGCAGCAGGTGAACAAAGAGGTCTGGACAAGGGAGGCGAAGGCTGCTTAGCTGGTTAGGGCTGCTGTACCTGCTGCACCACAGACTGGAAATCCAAGATCAAGACGCCACAGGTTTGGTTTCTCCTGAAGCCTCATCTTGGCTGCCTGATGGCTGCCTTTTCCCTGTGTCCTCACATGGCCTTTCCTCAGTGTGCACGTACTCCTGGGGTCTCTTCCTCTTCTCATGAGGACACCAGTCCTATTGGATAGGTCCCTACCCTAATGGTCATTTTAAATTAATCACCTGTTTAAATAACTTATCTCCAAATACGGTCACATTCTGAGGTACTGGGGGTTAGCATTTCAACATCTGAATTTTGGTTGGGGTTAGGTGGCAAAATTCAGCCCATAGCAGAGGCTGAGGATGGCATCCTGGAAAGGGAGCTTAATGTGGGGTTGAGAGCATGGTTAAATTGCGTGGAGTCCAGGTTCTGTCTCCTCTAGCTTTGGGACCTGGACAAATTGTATATCTTGCCAATATTTAAGGGACAATCTGAAGAAACAAAGTTTGTAATAAAGACTGAAAATGAGTGGCCAAGAATGTTCTTTACCTCAAACATTTATCAGTTCTCTGAGTTGGGAGCATCTCATTTCTCTTTTAGCTACTTTGAAATACACGATAAATTATTCTTAACAATAGTTATTCTACTGTGCAATCAAACACTAGAACTTATTTCTTCTAGCTACCTCTATGTACGTACTCATTAACCAACCTCTTTTCATCCCTCGACATGACCTGTCCAATGCTGAATGATCCCTAGACAGCCTTTCATGCAAAAGAAGCTCCTGATAACTGAGGTTATCTAATGAGTCCCACAGGCTGGATCTACTCCACGGCCACCCTTGCCATCCTGGACACCTATCCTGGCCACCCTTGCCATCCTGGACACCTACCCTGGCCTCCCTTGCCATCCTGGACACCTACCCTGGCCTCCCTTGCCATCCTGGACACCTACCCTGGCCTCCCTTGCCATCCTGGACACCTACCCTGGCCTCCCTTGCCATCCTGGACACCTATCCTGGCCTCCCTTGCCATCCTGGACACCTACCCTGGCCTCCCTTGCCATCCTGGACACCTACCCTGGCCTCCCTTACCCTCTTCTGCTCAGGGTTCTCCACTGGGTGGCAAATCCCACCCCGGAAGAGACCCTGGAGGCCTTTCCCCTGGCTTCAGGCCATCATAAAACTTACTAAATTTTGCTAAAGAAAATCACCTTCTAAATAAAATTATTTGGCAATTTAAAAATCAGAATTGCAAGATACCTTAGAAACTGCCTAGTTGAGTCTCTTTAAGATGAGGAAACTCATGCTTGCAGGTATAGACAGCTCTGGTGCCAGTATGTTTCATACAAGTGATGTGATTACAGTCAGCCCATTCGCTTCCTAGGGTCCAACCTCCTTTTCTATAATATGGGCAAAATAATAGTTTCCACCCTCCTTGTTTGGAGGGCATTTACCAGTTCCTAAGTCTGTAGGGGCGCAGCAGTGAAAAATTGCACACCAGTCAAGCCCTCCTGACCTCACAGTCTAGCATGGAAGAAAGACTTTGAACAACTAACCACAAGTGTCCTGTCAGTTACAAAATAAAAAACAGGATCCAATGCAAGCTTGGGAATGAGATGCCAATGTAATATGGGGGATCAGAACAACTTCCTGCGGGGAGATGACACTCTAAAGGAAGGTGCTGTGAGAATCAAATCCCAGCGTGTATTGATCTAAGAGATATTCCTTCCCACCTATGCTGGGCCAGAAAGTGTGCCAGTGGCTGGGGATTTCCAATGAACAGGACTGACGGGGCTCCTGCCCTAACGGAACTTACAGCCAACAATAAAGAACATCATGGATTACACAAATAATGAATTAATTACAACGGCGATAAATGTCATAAAAGGAAATGAAATAATGTACATAACAGTGCTTCATGAGCTTTCGCCTGCCTTATAAATGCTCCTCTGTGCTAAGAATAATAGAAGTGGCAATGGGAGAATAAAGTTAGAAAGAAAGCTTCCTTTCTTCCTGCTTTCCTCTCTCCCTCTTCCTCCTTTTCTCCATCCATCCTGCCCGTCTGTCTGGGGAGCTGGTAAGATATCTCTTGTGAACACACCAGGCACATGGTAAATAATTAGATAGTCATTTATGGTGTTATTTTTCTTCTCCAATCTTACTTAGAATGTCAGATTTAAATGTTATCAGTGTTTGTTTTGATTTGTGTTTTTTTTTTTTCCTGCATGCTTTGATCCATCAGAATGCACTGGCATAATTAGTAATATCTAACTTTATTACTAGGAGAAAATGTAAGACCGTGGTCCCCACGCGTCCTGGCTAAGGGGACTAAAGTGAGTAGCAGTTACAATGCTTGATATGGCAAAGTGGAATAAAGGTGACCCATGGAACTTTTTAAGGAGTAGACTCCGTTCAAGAGAGAAGACCTTCGTCAAGAAAGCCTGGTGCTATAGCTGCAATGAACCAAGAGAGAAAGCCGGTGGGCCATTCCAGGAGATTATGGAAGAAAGTAGTAGTTTTAATAAGTTCACTATAAAAAATATTACATTTCAAAGCCAAAAAACAATCTCCTAAGGCTTCAGTGGAAACTTAGCTCACACTGTTTTGTAAACATGACCTAATCTTTATGAAACGCTGCATCATTTGGAATTTGGCAGTGAAGGAGTAGAGCAAAGAGAACACAGTCGCCACTCTAAGGCCCCGTGGAGACCTGCAACAGGGCACCCTGTCGTTAGCTGCTGAAGAAAGTCCACACATCTGCCTACACACTAAAGAGAACACAGTCGCCACTCTAAGGCCACGTGGAGACCTGCGACAGGGCACCCTGTCGTTAGCTGCTGAAGAAAGTCCACACATCTGCCTACACACTAAAGAGAACACAGTCGCCACTCTAAGGCCACGTGGAGACCTTCCACAGGGCACCGTGTTGTTAGCTGCTGAAAAGTCCACACATCTGCCTACACACTCTGAGTCAACGTTCAAGGCTTAAGTCACTCTATTTTCTACATGAACTGTCCCTTCCCTAGAAAGTCAAGCTTGGAGGAGCAGGGAGCCTTATCTGGGTCAGAGGCATCGCTCTGGAGCCTTCTTCATTGGACGGGGAGAAACTAGGGTTGTGGGGTGACCTCCATGGAGTTCCAACATAGAGGTAGGTGTGGATGGCCACGCAGGTAGAGGCAGCTCCTGAGCAGATGCTGCTAAAATTTCACAATCTGAGGCGTTATCATGCAGAGTCTACAGTGAACACCGTCAACAATGCGTGCAGGAAAAAATTTTAAAATGTCTGATATGCTAGCACATAACACACAAGCACCAATGAAATCCATCTTTTTATAACCACTTCAACTTTAAGACCTAAGCCTTTATTACGATTAAAAATGTGTTGATAAAGAGCCCCTGCTGTTAAGTCTGATGTCAAATTTCATAAATCATGAAGTTTTTAAGATAACTTCTACTGAAGTATAATATACAAATTAAAAAGTACACATATCACAAGCACATGGCTTGATGTATTTTCAGAAACTAGTCATGAAGTTTTATGGCCAACTTCTACTAATCTTTCAAATAATGTGACAAGAAGAGACAGTTTGGCATAGTGAAAAGGAAAAACCAGTAGCCAGAGAAGCTGCTGGGTCATTTTACTTCATTCTGGCTCTCCGACACTGGATAAATCAGTGACTTATTTCAGTCTTCATTTCCACATCTAATCAGAGTAGACAATTTCTAAGTGTACCTTCTAGTCTAAAATGTTATACTTTGAAAATGTATGTTCCCTTAACTGCAAAAAAGCACTCTCGATGATATCACTCACAGTGTTTCAGACGACTCAGTTATGCCAACATGTCGCGCTAACTCACTACCACGCAAGGGAGAAAGTAGTTATGCTGCAACTTTTTCCTTCCCAGGCCACTTCCTAATACATTTACTAGCAAGAAAGGCATGTCTTCAGCAACCATCCACGTCAGAGAACGGCGAAGCGCTGGTAGCAGAGCGTAAGCAGCCCTTGGGTGCCTGCACCTGCTTTCCAGTGAGCCTTTTAGATGTGGCTCCCTGGTTCCGTGGCTCCCGGCTCTCAGCTCCTGGGGGCAAGCATGCCTGGAGTCGCCACATGGTGCCCAATATTCCGGGCTACAGAGATGGCCTGTGCTAATTACGATACGTTTCTCTCCACGACCGTGGAACATAATTCTGATGTTGACTATGGCAAGCTCTTAAAGTCAGCCTTTTCTGAATTTTAACAACGTGTTACTACTTGGGCTTGGTAACGAGATGTTCTTGCTCACATTGATCAAAACTACATTAGGTCTGTTAAGTCAGCTTTTCATCCCATTGTAACAAAAAAAACATAGAAAAGAAAAAATATATAATGAAAAAGATTCTATTAGGAGGTCAGGCCACCTATTTTAAGGAATTGCAGTAACTCCTTCAGATCAGTTGAAGACCCCATATTATGGTTTCCACAAAATAAAAGGGATCCAAATACAAAGAGTTAACACATTTTCCAAAAATTCTTATATGCTAGGAGAATTTTGTTGCTCTTTCCCACAAGGCTTTTTTTTTGAAGCTCAGAGAACTCTACTGTGGCCTTTGATATGTCATGGCAATGACTCACCAAACTGTCCCTAACTAGTCTGAAAAGACACAGGCCAGCCTTTGCTCATTCAGTGTATACTGAGCTCATCCTATGTGCTTGTTACTAAGTTAGACGCTGAAGAAACAAAATGAAACATGCATTCTTGCCCTTAACAAACCAGTCATCCATCTGAATAGGGAAACACATAAACAATAAGTAATCAGTTACTGCTATGGAGACCACACACACAGAGGGGAGACAGGGAAAAGGGCTACTGTGGGTGCTCAGATGACTTCTGCGCAATGGTAAAGGATACAGCTTTATTTAAACACGAAAATACTTCAAAATTAAAATACAAAAGAACAACCTAATGGATGCGAAAATCTGGGGTGAAATATCACATACGCTGTGCCATTTACCAAATGCCAACTGGCTCAAAGTTCTAGAAGTGTGTAATTAATTCTGCACATTGAGAATTAAGTATGCAAGAGTATTTAAAATCGGCAATGGGGCAAGCTTATTTATCTAAATTTCCTTGCTCTTAAAATCTAGTCCTCATTCTGGAGACACATTGTCCTAGGCCATTCATTCTCACTTGATGTTATTAAAACTAAAATATAGAATAAAAGGCAATGGTAAATACAAAAGTTATTTATGGACTAAGTAATAAAGCATGACACAGAAACCCTTCTAAAAACATAAATTATCTGAACTAATGGAAATGTAAATTTGTAGTAAATTATTTTTTCTAGATTACTGACTAAAATAAGTAAAGGGTCCTAGAGGAAAGGCCTTAAAAAACAAAGTATCATGCTGCTAGATCCTTAATAACCCAAAATGATCTACCAGTCCTCAGTAATCTCAATAGAAATGTGTAGCACATCTGGAAAATAGGTGAAATTCCTGTTTCTGGGATATCGCACAGCTATGTTAAAATTCATTTAAATTGATACTTCAACCACAAGATAAGGTGAATATAGGATAAAAAAATAGTAAGACGCTATATATGACGACTCACAATGTCACTATTAAAAGGCCAGTGGACTTCTAAAAATTCCTTACAAGTAAATATGATTGTACATTTAAATATCTGGGTCAAATAACAGGTAAAAACACTCTGATCACTCAAATTAAACCATAATATTTTTCTTAAATCTGTTCAGCACATAAACTATTGTTTATTAACAAAATTTTCAGGTCTAGAATTTAAACATCAATATAACATTGTGAGGAAGTAACATCTTCTGGGGAAAGTTGAATTTTCCATGGATAAAAGCTTAATGTTAATATAAAGATAGGCTGTATAATAGCAAGCCCTCCTAGTCACAAAAAGCCTATTTATATCTATCAAAAGATTCCAATTATTTGCATCAAATGTGTCTATTATAAATTGCACAGCAATCAGGAGATTCACTTTGTTTTATTTACAAAGTTTCTACATAGCTGATTTACAGATATTCAGGGAAGGAAAGTATACACATTACCACAAAAAAAGATTGTGGATTTATTAGTCTTTGATGATGTCTTCTTTTCCCAACTTCAGAATCAAATTTCTACAAATAGTGGTAAAATTTAACTTTAAAGTCATATAATATGATCACGATATAGGGTTTTGAATTATACACTTTCTTGTTTCCTACTTCAAATGCAGTACTTTGCACATACGGAGAATTAATGTTGCACATTGCTTTTCATATGAATTTCTTCAATCGGAATTTAATTAGGCACCCTTTTGTTGAGTACATGGAATTGTGTGGAACTAAAGGAAGACCTGGATAAGTCCTAATCCAAAAGCTATTCTCGTCTAATTCAACTTTCTGTGAATAAAAATATCTCAAAAGCATTTCATCTACACAGCTTCTCTGCTCTAAACAATTTACAGGTTCAGCAGGAACCAGGCATAAATCTCACTGCATTTTTTTAAAACAATGAAACCTCTTTACTTGGTTCATTTTCTTTTGTCTCCTCAATTAAAGCACACCTTCTGATATATTACATGTTCCTTCCCTTTAAATACTGTACACACACAGTCTGACATAGATTTTTCTTCTTGCCTTGCTGGAAAGCTTGTCCTGTTTTCTCCAAACTAGATAAAGTTCACTCAGATGTGCTTACGGGCGCCTCCCTCCCCTCAGTGCCCTCCCAACCCTGGATGCCTTTCTGTCCTCCTCCATATTCTTGGGTGGGCAGGAACCTGGGGAGATGCAGCCACCAGGCAGCTTGCTACTCTCCTGAAGCACATCTGGGCTTTATATTAGGCCTTTAATTAATCCTCAGTGAAAGCCAAGCTATGACATTTTGACTGGGCAGGCTCCAGTTCTGGACAGGTCTTGATTTATTGCGACTGAGTCCCAACCAACTTTGATTTATTTCAGCTTAGGGGAGGAAGGCAAGCTTGGAACAGAAAAGCGCTGTTGAATGTTGAGCACGTGATGTCAGGACAGGCCCTCCAGACTTCCAGGGGCACGGGACAAGCGGTTCAGAAGAGAATGGCTTCTGAGAAAGCCATTTTAAAACCCTAAGATTTAAATAACACGAAATTGTACCAGACAAAATAAATGTAATCACAGAGGAGAGAAAATGGCTCCTGAAACAGTTGGCTGATTGTGGCAGGGTAGGAAGCCCCAGCCTTATCTCTGGGAAAAGGAGGAAACCCTGGGGGCCTTACTGTTAATCAGGACTCTCATTTGCATTCGGGGGCTGCTCTGTGTGGCCGTCTGTCCTTCCTGAGAGCAAAGGCCAGGAGGACTGCCCCCTCCTCGGCAACACCAACAACTGATAGTCCATTAAATGAGAGCAGATTTCCTTTTTGCAGGCAGACAGAATAAGTCAAAAGAAGGCAAAGTTACTCCATTAAGCAAAGACAAAAGGGTCAGTCCATTTAACGAACGAATTTGTTTCCTTTCCGGCCAGGCTTTCCTGACAGAGCCGATAGTAGAGTGCTGTGCTCACTGCTGTGTCCTTGAGCGTGGGTTGTCAGAACAGTGACTCGCCGGCTCCCACACCAGCAATGCGCAGTACCTTCCTGTTGGCCAAGTTAGGGCTCAGGGTGGTGCCCACTTAATACCTCACTGCAGGCTTCACTGGGCCTAGCATGATGCCTCGCACATAGCCAGGAGCCCCCAGCACAGCAGCTTTGACTGCTGACAAAGCCCTGTTCCCTCCTTGGGGGTGGCAGAAGGAGTGCATGAGATGGACCTGTCCCCAGTGTCACATGGTTGACAAAGGGCAACGTCAACAATTCTCAGAGGCAACGTTAAGTTCCTTAAAAGGGAGATAATGGTAGGAAAAATGTGTTGCAAAACAAAGAAGAGGGGAAGCAGAAGAAAGGGGATAAGGGCAGAAAAGATGGATAGAGGTAGCATGGCCCAAGCAAGTAAGAACAGCACAAGCTCTGGCATCCATGACATGAGATCCAAACTCCATCCCAGCGACTTACCTGCATGTGCTCTGTGCAAGCTACTTAACCAAGCGATGCCTCCTTTGGGCAGCGAGCACTTATTCTCAGGGCAGCTGTGAGGTCCAGGGGAAAGCCTTGCAAAGCTCTTCCACACTGGGCCTCACCCCTGGTGCCGAGGGCACTGGCCGGTGTCATTAGAGGTGGGGCCTCAAAGGTGCCTGTGCATCTGCATGTGGGGCCAGCACATAGCTGTGGGTGCTGGCGTGTAGGTGGGACCTCAAAGGTGCCTGTGCATCTGCATGTGGGGCCAGCACATAGCTGTGGGTGCTGGCGTGTAGGTGGGACCTCAAAGGTGCCTGTGCATCTGCATGTGGGGCCAGCACATAGCTATGGGTGCTGGCGTGTAGGTGGGGCCTAAAAGGTGCCTGTGCATCTGCATGTGGGGCCAGCACATAGCTGTGGGTGCTGGCGTGTAGGTTGGACCTCAAAGGTGCCTGTGCATCTGCATGTGGGGCCAGCACATAGCTGTGGGTGTTGGTGTGTAGGTGGGACCTCAAAGGTACCTGTGCATCTGCATGTGGGGCCAGCACATAGCTGTGGGTGCTGGCGTGTAGGTGGGGCCTCAAAGGTACCTGTGCATCTGCATGTGGGGCCAGCACATAGCTATGGGTGCTGGCGTGTAGGTGGGACCTCAAAGGTACCTGTGCATCTGCATGTGGGGCCAGCACATAGCTGTGGGTGCTGGCTTGTAGGTGGGACCTCAAAGGTACCTGTGCATCTGCATGTGGGGCCAGCACATAGCTGTGGGTGCTGGCATGTGACAATAACCCCATAGGCCATCTGGGAACACGTATGCAGGTGTCCCTGAGAAGGAGCGCCCAGGTGGCTGTTGAGTCCAAGCCATCTGACATGCTCAAATGGAAATGGAAAGTACCCACCGAGACTTTCTTCACAGATCCACACAGAACAGCTGTTCCAAAAAACGATACAATGATCTTTACATGAAACTACCAAATAAGTGATGCTTGTGACAAGTATTACTGTAACTGTTAGCTTTGTTGATTAGTCTTAAAGGTTGAGCAGCACATTAGGGACCTCAGAGAAGTGCTATCACATTTCAAAGCTGGCTGCATGGCATATGTATATATGTATATAAGCCATCCTACATATGCATATAAGCCATTCTGTGGGTGGTCAGTTCCCCATTCCTGCAAATAGTCAAGTGCCAGCATTGAGAGCTGGGGTGCCAGGACTCAGTAAGCCAGTTCCAAATGTGCAGTGAGCCTTTGCACCATGAAACTAACACAATCCTAGGGATTCTCAGGTACTATTTAGCCCACACCAAAACACTAATTGCTGTTAAGTAAAATAACCTGGGTCAAATTAGATATTTGCACAATAAAATGCAATTATTCTGTCATTGCAGTCAGCAGATTTTAATTTTTATTGCCTTTTTTAAACCTAGGTTATCTGAATACATGCACTCACTGATTTTAGAAATCAAACTCTTTTCACATCTCTATGATACTCTAGTTTTTCAAAGAAATTCTCAAGAGGTTAGTGGGGTGTGAAGCCCAAAATGCTGGCCATTCACAAGACCTGTGAAGCCTACGGGTCCTGGGTTTGCAAGCCAGGGGGTTTCCTGCAGTTCCAAAAGCTTTTGTGCTAGAGGGCAGGGAGGGAGGACAAGGAAAGGAGTAGGAGCTCTCCCATCTGGGAGCTATCTTCGGATCACACAGACAGAAGCGGCTGTTCCCAACGGTCCCAGGCTACTCAAAGCACAGGCTGCAAGGTCCTTTTCACCAGCCATTCATTCCCTAATAACACTTTACATAGCAGGAAATGGGCAGAGAACCCACCGTAGGGGCTCCCTGCACACAGCCCCAGCCTCCGAGAGGAGGCAAGGGTGGATGGCACATGTTCCTCTCCCAGACCATGGAGGGTGAGAACTCAGATGCACTGCAAAACTGTCAGTCTGTATGCTTCCAGGATTCCTTATTTTTCTGTCATTGTCTCACAGGCATATATATTTGTGTCTGCAAGCACACACTCTAACATTATTTGCTGTTTCGCATGTGTAATCTCTCTACCCATTTGACAACTGGCTTATGGGGAAGATGGCTTGGCATGCACGTGTCAGTGTATGTGTATCAACTTGAACTCAACACGCATAGACTCTGATACTCTAAAGCTCCACATGACAGATGAGGGGAAGATGAGAAACTGGTGGATGGGTTTCAGCAAATCAAGCACCCCACGGTCCCATGTACTGATTTTCAAAGCTGAATTTTAACATAATTTAAGCCAACAAAACAAACTTGGCACAAAGCAAGATACTGAGACCTCTGAATAAAAGCAACTTTCTAAAAATATTTAAAAAGAAGTTTTGTTTAAGAAATCCCAAACCAATACCTACCTTGGGCCAATACAGTATTGAAACAAGGGAAGTGACAGGACAGGAACCCTTCTAGAAATGTTCCACCTTTGAAGGTATCATCTCACTAACATAGGTGAACTCTCTGTTTTATGACATGGTGTATTTCTTTTCCCAGGCAAATAATTTCCTAAAGCAACCATCAGTGACACATTTAATGTTACGAAGTCAGTCGGACACAGAGCAAGCATGAAAGCCTGCTTCCATGGGAGGCAGGTGAGCCTCCTGAGCTGGTACACATTTTACAAAAGCACAGAATTTTAAGGGAATATAGGGTTATAAACATAAGTTGCATGTCCATATAAAAGAGACAATAACTGGCCAATAAATGAACTATACAGTTCTCCCCTCTTATCTGTGGGAGATGTTCCAAAGTCCCCGGTGGATACCTGAAATTGCAAATACCAAACCGTACACACACGATGTTTTTTCCCATGCATACATATCCACGATAAATCGTTTAAAAATTAGACACAGTAAGAGCTTAACAACAAGAACTAATAATAGAACAATGATAACAATATGCCAGCATCAAAACGCTTGCACCATGGGGCCATTATTAGGTAAAGTAAGGATTCAGTGAACACAAACACTACAATACTTCAACAGTCAATCTGATAACCAAGGAGGCTACTAAGAGACTAATGGGTGGGGAACATCGACAGTGGGGATCCACCGGACAAAGGAATGGTTCACGTCCGGGCAGAACGAAGTGGGATGGTGTGAGATTTCATCATGCTACTCAGAAAGGTGCACGATTTAAAACTTATGAATTATTTCTGTAATTTCCCATTTAATATTTTCAGATCACGGTTGACTGCGGACAGGTGAAACCGTGGAGAGTGAAACTGCGGATAGGAGGGGGCTACCGTACCATTCTTTGTAGGTTCCTTTTCTTATATTTTTCACTTAAAAGCTTAAACTAATGTTTCTCTGTCCCAAGTAGTTTACAAATGTAGACCAATTTTGTTCTGAAAGTCTCTTGGCAAAAGATATTTTCTTGAATCAAAATTTTCTTTAAATTTGGGCTATGCTACAAACCTCAATAAAAGTGGCATAATTTTAATTTCATCATTCCAGTTAATAAAGAGGCATAGAAAGTGCATCACTCTACTCAGCCATCCTCCCTTCCTCTTGACTTCTTATCATTCCTCTGATCCTCAGACACACACATGGCACCATAAGGCAGGAACTGCTGCTCGAAGGCTTGATGATTCCAAGAGAGGTGAGAGGTAAGCTCTTCCCTACGGCTGTTTGCTCAGACAGCTGGACATGTATTGGAATAATCTGCTGTAGTCAGTTTCTTCATATGTTTATGTAGCTAAAGATTAGAGCAGAAATTAAAAAATCAAGAGTTCTGCGTTAAGATCCCAGGTCTGCACCTGACTCACGGCTGACCCTAAAGGCAAGCCATTTTAGCTGGAGGGGGGTTACACCATCCACATCTCTGTAATTAGCATGCCTATAACCAACCAGTTCAGACAAAAAGACTTTGAGATTCCCAGGGGAAAAAAGGCTACGTAGATGAAAGAATGACAGGGTATCCACCAGAAAACGCAGGATATTAGTCACACCGGTCAAGTTATAAACGTTTAATTTATTTGTATTGCTGCCACTAGGAATAAAAAGAGCATATCATACATCTTGATGAAATGCCTTTCAAACAAAGACTTTACGGTTTTTGGAACAAGTAAAGTTTGGTGAATTAAGTGAGATAAACCCCAGAGAAAGGTGCAGCTAAACTGCTCTCCATGATGAAATTAATTCTTAGTCTGAAGCCGAGGCACTTGAGTAAAGTTTTTTCAAAATTCCCACTTGACAATTTAGGTTCTGCCTACTTGTGAATTACCTGCTTAAAAGAACAGGTACAAAGACTCTGCCTAGTACAAATCAAAGACCCAAAAGTATAGACTATGTTCTTTGGTTAATCCTATGTCAACAACCAGATGCTTTCTTAGGTCCTTTACTTTAGAAATCCTGGGATTCTCCGGGTTGCAACAGGATCTTGCTGTGAGTGTAAGCTGCCCTCCTTTTGAGTGGGGCCCAGTAGTCACTGAGGGTGATTCTTGTGTGGTTGCTTTTCTCCAAGGACAATCTGTATTCTAGAAGGTAAAATGTGTCCATCCGTGTGTGATGCTGGCTACAGCCACTCCAAAACCTCCCTGAAGACTCTCCCTCTGGGGAGAAGACTGAGAAGAGTCTTCTGCTTACTCCTTCCACATGCAGGGACGGCATGGCTATGGCCCCATGGGTGAGTCAGTAGGCACAAGGCGAGGGTCACATGATCACCACAATGAAAGTGATACAGTGCTTATCCATCAAGATGGCATCACAGAAGCATCCAGATTTTCTTTTCTCACCGCTGCCCCTCTTCAGGATTCCATAACCGTAGTTAAGAACAGTGGTTTTTAAATATGGGATTCCGTGTATAAGAAAGCAAACTCCCGATCAAGATCCAGAGGCCTGAACTGTGGCTCATCTGAGATGAGGTGTGCTGTGAAGTATAAAATGTACACTGGATTTTGAAGACGTCGTACAGAAAAAGGAATGTAAAATGTCTCAATAATTTTTTAATATTTTTTACATGCTTAATATTTGGGATTTATTGACTTAAAAATATTCTTAAAATTAATGTTACATTTTTACTTTTTATAGTGTAATAATCACTGAAAATTTAAAATTATATAACATATGGCATGCATGTATAGCTTGAATTTTATTTCTATCAGGTAGCACTTTCTATAGTATTTTTTGTCCTGGTATGTTTAAAAAAAAAAAAAGATGTTAGCTTAGCTTAAGCTCAGAATAATAAATGAAACTGAAAAAAAAAAGAAGATGATACTGGGCTTTATAAATAATTTGTTTCACTGAGGGATTGTACAATGTTAAAACACAAAATCATAATCTGTGTCACAGAACACTACGTTCTGTTAGCAGATATATTTAAAAACAACATAAAGTTTATACTAGATGGTAAATACTGCTGTACGGAAAAAGTGTTCAAAAGATGATTCCATATTCTCAGTTTCTAAATCTTAACCTGTGTTGAACTCCAGCCCCCTCCCTTTGAATAGAAGGAAAGTAAGATTTGGAACGGTGAAGTGATTGTAGGAGGCCAGGCAGCAGCAGGAAGAGGCTGAGGACCCAACATACAGCACAGCAGACGCTTTGCACATACACGAGGGTCTTTTGATTCTGGCGTGCAGTCACCAACCTCACCATGAAAAGCCTCAGTCTGAGGAAAGTGTAGGGATAAGACTGAATATTCCATCTAGAGATAAATTCCACAAGTATATATAGATTGTTAATAAAAACAAGTGGTGAGGCCAATGCCCTCCAGGAAATGTGTCACAGGAGTTTTTCTCTGAATGAGTTAAGCATTGACTTTTTAAACATTGCTATTAAAAAACTGGCATTGTGTTTTTAAGAAAAATCTCTGGAAGCTCTGGAGACAGGGCAATTAATGAATTAAATGTACCACTAAAAAGTTCACTTCATTTCCCAAGGTGGTCTGATGGAAAATCTGTTCCCACAGCCTGGACCCTACAGTCAGGGAAAGATGGAGGGGCTAGTTCTGAAGCATTTCGAAAGCAAAGAAAACAGCAACGTGTACCATATATTTGATGTGGGTAATAGACAGGGCCCTCCAAGAGGAACGTTTCTAAAAGTAATAAGCTTTCCCTACATACTGATCCGCGTAACCAGAGCTGGGGAAACTGTCTCCAGGGACATGCTAATGTCTCCCAAAGAAGGGCAGTCAGAAAGTTCAGCTGTTCTATCTTTGGACCATTAATACTGGATGTTGAGTCAGGCTACATCCCAAAACACCTACAACTGAAAAGTAATTCTTCTCAAATGAAAACTGGCATATTAAGTGTACCCTCTGGGTTTGGGGAATGTTTCCCATCCCAAAATAAATTTTTAAGCACAAAGAGACAGTTAGAAATGGTCACTCTGCTGATAACCATGCTTTATTCAGTAATCTGTCAAACAGGAAAAAAATGGCAGAAAAAACAGACGTTTATATTTTAATTTCCTTGTGCCTGTTCTTTCCCCTATTAAAAAAAAAAAAAGCCGTGGAATTTGTCAAAAGAATGAACAGCAATCATGAGAGTATGATATGCCTTCCACGCTGCATGGGCTAGTTTTCAAGGGAAAAGAATTACAGCAGAGAGAGGATGTTGCCACACACATATAATAACGGCATGAACCATTCTGACTTGCAACATAAATTGAACCATTGAAGGATTTAAATGTTCCTCATTAACTTTTATTAGCCTCAATTTTTAACTTTTTTCCTTCCTCTTAAAATTAAAAATGAGCATTCCCTTCAACTTTGCACACCTTCAAGCAACATTCTGACTAAGCAAGGTCTTTGAGGGACCACGAACTACTCTGTAGGGAAAAAACACCTCCAAAAACCAAATCCTCTAGTACAGAGTTTTTTTCAATGTCTCTAAACTCTTCATAAAAAATAATAGGTCTGAGGCTACATTTGAAGACTTTTTCAAACTAAGGAGAAGAATAAAGATTTCATAATCTTATCATTTTAGAATCGACCATTTCTGATCACTAAAAATAAGTGATCTTGGCTGGGCATGGTGGCTCACTTCTCCAATCCCAGCACTTTGGGAGGCTGAGGCGGGTGGATCACCTGAGGTCAGGAGTTTGAGACCAGCCTGGCCAAAACAGTGAAACTCTGTCTCTACTAAAAATACAAAAATTAGCCAGGTGCGGTGGCGGGCGCCTGTAATCCTAGCTACTTGGGAGGCTGAGGCACGACAATGGCTTGATCCCAGGAGGCAGAGGTTGCAGTGAACCAAGATCACGCCACTGCACTCCAGCCTGGGCAACAGAGTGAGACTTTGTCTAAAAAAAATTTTTTAAAAAGTGATCTAATCAAAGGACTGTGGGGAGCACTCCAACTTTTTAGAGTTCTTTCTATGTGATAGGTAACAGGTTAAACACTTTGCATTACCTTACACAGTAAAATTTGAAAGCTTTAAATACAAACAGTTATAAAACAAAGTCTTATCCAAATGTGAAATGTAGTGCCTACTGGGTGAATGTGATACCCCACCTTCCCTTAAAAAAAGAAAAAGAAAATACTGTGGGGTCTTCCTCTCTCCATAGCTTGTGGATCTCAACTACCCGTGGGATGTGCACAGACCAAAAACAGAAAAAGAGAAAAAATGAAATATATATATACAAACAAAACCTTTTGGTGACTGTTTCTAAAAACAAAGATTTAGAAAGCAGTATTTCACAAAGTGAAAAATAAGTGCACACTTGGTCAGAAAATTTTCAAAATCTGTAGAATATTACAACATAAAAATACAGAATTTCAACCTCATGCACACACCCCTCTGAAAATGTGCCCAGTGACCAGCTGGGATTCTCTGTGTGTACCACAAGCCCAAAGCAGCATTACACATTGCCCTTCTGGATGAGACTGACCTTACCTCTGCCACACAAACTATAAACTGAATGCCACACCCTTTAGTTATGTAATTTGCTCATTGTTTATTGTTAACTTGCTCATTTATTGTTATTTGATCAAGAAAACTAGTTATTAATAACTGACCCTTTAAGAAAGTTTGCATGTGGGCCAGGCGCGGTGGCTCACGCCTGTAATCCCAGCACTTTGGGAGGCCGAGGCGGGCGGATCACGAGGTCAGGAGATCGAGACCATCCCGGCTAAAACGGTGAAACCCCGTCTCTACTAAAAATACAAAAAATTAGCCGGGCGTAGTGGCGGGCGCCTGTAGTCCCAGCTACTCGGGAGGCTGAGGCAGGAGAATGGCGTGAACCCGGGAGGCGGAGCTTGCAGTGAGCCGAGATCCTGCCACTGCACTCCAGCCTGGGCGACAGAGCGAGACTCCGTCTCAAACAAACAAAAAAAAAAAAAAAAAAAAAGAAAGTTTGCATGTGGTAAAAATGTCTGGATTATATTCTCAGTTGCCTCAGTTTGCTGCCAAGGAAATTTGGTAGCAAACTATCTAAAAGACATTTTTAGAAGTGAGTTTTCTTCCTCAAAGAATAGAAGGGTGTGATTTGTTTTAAAAGACCATATTCCAGTCACAGGGAAAAAAAGGCTATGTCAAAAATGACAATAATATGCACTTTTTCACCTTGGAAACTTTAGACTTGAAAGAAGCCCATAGTATAAGTTTTCCATCACTCCAGTTGAATTCTAAGACCACCAGTGAAACAGCACCACTCAGAAAACCACAGGGGTGGCCCTGCTAGAATACACATATAGTTGCTGAGGAACAGGAAACGAAGCCAGATGGTTCTGCTGAGGGAAGCACTTTTTTTTCTTTATAAAACCAAAAAAGTACTAATAGGTCAAACATAAAAATGCAGATATGGTAAAGCGGAAAGCTAACAGGAAGATTTATGTAAATAAGGCAAGCTTAAGTTTGCATTATGTTCCCATCTACATCAGTGAGTGGATGTACGGGGGGAAAGGAAAAAATAATACAGTATATCCATCCTATAGATCTTTCTGCTGATGGGAGAAATGCTACTAGCAATCCCATTTAGGCACTGCTGCTAAACTGTGGGAGCCAAAAGCCAGCATATGATTTGTGTTACATAGAACGTGTGTCAATTATCATGAAAGCGTTTTTTGTTTGTTTTTTTTTTTTTTTTTTTTTTTTTTAATTAAGAGAACTTTTGGGCTAGGCGCGGTGGCTCACGCCTGTAATCCCAGCACTTTGGGAGGCTGAGGCCGGGGTATCATGAGGTCAGGAGATTAAGACCATCCTGGCTAACACGGTGAAACCCCATCTCTACTAAAAATACAAAAAGTTAGCCTGGCGTGGTGGTGGGCGCCTGCATTCCCAGCTACTTGGGAGGCGTAGAATCCTCCAGTTGAGGAGAATGGCGTGAACCCAGGAGGTGGAGCTTAAAGTGAGCCGAGATCGCACCACTGCACTCCAGCCTGGGCAACAGAGCAAGACTCTGTCTCAAAAAAAAAAAAAAGAAAAAAAAGAGAGAATCTTTAAATACAGAGTCTGAAGTAACTATAACCTAGACTCTGGCTTCTTGCACATCTGGTTTACTGTAGTTATTCACAGTCTCATGAAGTCCCAATGCAGGGTGACAAGTGACACCTGAGACTATTTCCAGGGAAGATCCCTGTGCTCCAAGTTCCCAAGGTGCGCCCCTCACAATGTCAAAGGCAGAACTGCACCAGGCACTGGGCCTTAGTCTTGTGTCTCACAGGGCTTTGGATGGCAAATTCTGAATCCTCTCCTGTCGCGCCCAACTACCCATCATTCTTGACTGGTGTCTGCAAAGCTCAACATCCAGCCACTGGGCCTCCCTGAAGCACAGCAGTGTGGTCATGTACACAGCTCTGATGAGTGAGGTGCTAGGCCCTCTCTCCCACACAGGCCCCCCTCCTGCTTAGGCCTGGGCAGAAGTGTGCGAGGTTGTCATGACCTTGGGATGGTGAGGATACCTTGGGAGGTCTGCAAGTCAGGCAGTGGCCAGCCATTGCCCACCCTGGGCTCCAGCTACAGCAGGTGGCTGGCATCCACTAAAGGGAGAGCAGCACGGAGGCCTCGCATGCCCTTAGACCTCGAACCATCCACTGTATCTGCAGAGAATATGTGTCCCCACAGAACCAGTGGTTTTGCTTTTCCCATAAAGAAGCTGGACACTTGGATTTGAGGCTGAGTTGGTTTGACTGAGTTCAATCTCAGGCAGTTGAGCACCGGGGTTCAAGACGCTGTGAGAGATGCTAGGGGCCAGATGCAAGCATTGTCAGCCAGGCCCTGGCAGAGGCTCACAGGGCTGAGAATAAAGCATTGCAGACAAGGCGGGAAATGGCCAATTCTTCAGTGAAGTGGCCAGGAGAGTAGGGCCCCTGAGGAGGGCATCTGCAGAGGCAGCTGAGTGCTGAGCCTGAGCAGGGCAGGACTCCAAGGGCAAGCAGCAGGGGCAGCCCAGGGCCGGCACGGTGCAGGGCCAGCAGCTCCCAGCTCCGGAGGAGGACGCTGGGGCCCTGCCCAAGGCCGAGAATGCATGCTCCAGACAGCGGCCTTTATTCCATGGTGGAGACAGTGATGGTTTTAAGTTGAAATATGACAGTATCTGTATCTCAGAAAGGCGACTCTGGCAGCCATGTGGGAGGCAGAGAGAGCATCACAGTGCAGGGTACAGCCAGCACAAGGGTCGGCCGAATGAACGCGCCTGATCTGGGCCAGACTCAGCAAGCCTCTCTCTCTATGCCTTATGTTTTCCCTCTAGTGAGAAAAATATGAGAATAGCACGTATCTTACCAGACTCCTGTGAAAGTAAGCTTGTAAAAGTGTCCAGTAGTTCATGCATTTTCAGTACGCAATAAGGTTTTGAACTTGAAAATAAAGACTAACTGGATATTTTAATTCATGGTTTCAGGCTCAAGGAAGGCTTTGACTTTAAAATAACAACTGACCATTAGAGCTGTTCATAAAGAAAGGGCCATATTGGGAGGTGGCAACACCTTCACCATTCAGACATGTCCCGCCCAGCCACTGCTCACGCAGGCTTCGCAGGTGGAAGCTAAGCTGTACCTGAAGATCTTGGCATTCTTACTGGTGTAAAAACTGTCATTAAGCATTTTTCAATATACAATCATGGTTTTTACGTAGTTTAGCCCTTTATTCCTATGATGTTTTTGCTACCCCATTCTAGACTGACAACATGGCTGTAGGGAAAGGAAGACCAGCAGCCACCTAGTTACAAGGTAGCACGCCCACAGTGACCAGCGCTGATGAAACGTGAGGGTGCAGCTGAAGGAAAATGGGGCGTCTGCCAGCTGCTCACCAGGCTCTATCAACCCTTCACGTGCGGGGGTGGGGGGCTGTTCATACTCAAGATGCCATTAGCGCAGATTCTCCAAAGTAAGAGTTTTCATATTGTATTCCTACCCCACAATCTGTGAAAGAAAGGGAGAGAGAGAGGAGATGAGCTGAAGGGAGGGGAAGGGAAAGGAGGGAAAGGGAAGAGGGAAAAAGAGAGGTAGGGATGAACAGAGGGAAAGGAGAGTGAAAGAAAGAGAGAGAGACGAAAAAGGGAGGGAGAGAAAGAGAGAGAGCCAATCGTGGCACAGTGACTTAGGAAGAATCCTACTGAAATGCTCAATAAAGCCAGTGTAATTTCTTTGAGCCCCACTGGACTGCTAACATTTGAGAGCACAATACCACGCGCAATTAAACAAGCAAACCCACAATTCATTAGGGATAATTTTAATAGATGACTCATTAGCCAGCCAGTTAATGATGCTTTGTTTTCCCAGAGGCCCAGGCAGATGCTTAACTACAATGAGGCTTCTACTGCCACTGACAAAAGGCAATGGAATCTAAACCACCCATGCCACGTCTTCAAGCTTCTTCAGGTTTTTTTTTTTTTGAAGATAAGGATCAAATGAAACGACTTCTGTTAAACTTGTATTTCCTGTACAGAATGGATATCTTCTTCAAATTATATGATTGTACAACTATTAAAGGACTGCTTAATGTAGAGGAAGTCTGTTTAGGACACAGGGACTGGCCTTTTCACATGTGGCTCCTCAGATGTTCTACAGTTTCCTTCACACTCAGTTCCTCACACTGGAGTGGTTTCACAGGATGATTAGAGGTATTAGGCCAGCAGTAGAGATGCTAGTTTATATGTAATACCTAGCGAGAGGAATACGTTTGCTACACAATCAACACTTGAAGTCACTAAAAAAAAATGACTTTAAAAATCTCACAAGAATGACTAAATATACCAAAAATCAGCCCAGAAACATGGCACAGTATCATGGTAAGTCACTGCACTGAGGAGTTGGCAGAGCAGGGCTGGAACCCACTGCCTGATACCAAGAGAAGACATCAAACAAGGGTTTCTCCTTTCAATGTCAGCCTTTTCCTATGAAAATGACAAAAAACAATCCGTGCTCTCCTAACCATGGTCAAATATGTGTTGGGAGAATCAAATACAAAGATGTAAATGACAAAGCACTACAGGAATAGAATAGGACAATCTTCCAGGGTTTAAAATAAGTTCTAGTGATAGATCTTTATATTTTATTTTCAAACTTGAAATTTGAGACCCAGGCAAAACCAGCAAGTAATTCTTGACTAAAGGACACACTGTAAGAAAAAGCACATGAAACTATGCAGCCCTTGAAATCCTCATCTCTGCCTTTTTCTGTTGAGACAAAGTAGGCGCAGCTCTGCTACCTTGAATGGGGTATCTGTATCCTGTGGACTTGGTGACAGAATGCCCCGAGAGGCAGGATGCCAGCCGAGTCACCTTCCTGGAATGCAACCTGTACCCTCCAACACAGGCACCCACAGACTATCGCTCTGCTCTGTGAGTCAGAAGCTGGAGGACGGACCCAAGAACAGGGATATGTCGTCTGAGCATGTGGGTGATGTGCGACCAGGGAGGAAATGAAATCACACTCACGAGGGACAGAAAATGGTACTGCAGAAGGCTTTTCTTTTCTTCTTACTGCACTGTTTCCACAGATATTCCCAGAGCCACTGTCAAATAAATACATAAGAATCTTTAAATTCTATATGTATTTAAAAATAAAGTCCTATTATTACAACATGACCTGCTTCTAATTTGCATGTGTTGGTGATGGGTACAGACTGAGAGAGAGGATAGAGAGGGGAGAAGAGAAGGGATGGGAGAGTGTGACGGTTTTCCATAATAATAGAGCCCTCCTTGGAACTCTGGCTCTCTAGAAGAATCCTCTAACAAATGAGATCCTTGAAAACTGAGAGGAAATAGAGTGATGATCACACAAAAAGGTTTCTGAATGAG
This sequence comes from Homo sapiens, assembly GCF_000001405.40. NCBI lineage: Eukaryota > Metazoa > Chordata > Mammalia > Primates > Hominidae > Homo > Homo sapiens. Next base: position 1,918,303 of record NC_000006.12, read on the forward strand.
CTGATGTCAATATCATCAAGTACTCCCATGGGTACTTGGTCTTATAAGCTAATGGTATATTAGTGATTTTTAAATATTATTTTGTAAAACAGGGCCAGTTTATCCTTCTGCCTTTCCATTTTTCTATCTGCTCAGATATTCTTCCTTTAAAAATAAGAATAAGGCCGGGCATGGTGGCTCATACCTATAATCCAGTCCTTTGGGGGGCCGAGGTGGACAGATCATTTGAGCTCTGGAGTTCAAGACCAGCCTGGGCAACATAGGGAGGCCTCATCTCTACTAAAAAGAAAAAAAAATTCAGCCGGGCATGGTGGTACATGCCTGTAGTCCCAGCTACTCAGGAGGCTGAGGTGGGAGGATCACTTGAGCCTGGGAGATCAAGGCTGCAGTGAGCCAAAATCATGCCACTGCACTCCAGTATGGGTGACAGAGTGAGACCTACCTCAAAATAAATAAGTAAATCAAAAGTAAAAATAAAGCTAGGAATAAAGTCTAATAATAGTAGAATCTAGAGATAATCAGGAAACTGGCCACTGTGTGAGAACATATAGACGTTACTTCCTTTCATTTATGATCTGCACTCAACCAGAAAGAAAGGTGCTTGCAAACATTTTGCTGATATCAAGTAAATCTAGCACAACTCAACCTAAGTGTGGTAAGATCATATTCTGGGGGCAATGTCTTGTGCTAGCTAAAGAAAGCATCTTTTAATAGTAAGAGAAATGGAACACATTTCATATATACAGATTTCATTTTTATAATTTTATAAAGAAATGATGGGCAGGGAGATCCAATTCAGGTATTTACTGGGCATCTGTTATGTGCCAGGCATGTTGGGAGGGATGATTAAAGATAAAGAGGGATAGGATCCAGGTCCTGCCTTCAAGGAGCTTCCCCAAGAGAGACCGACATGAGATAGCTAACAAAGTCCTGACTGCTCCTCAGAGGTCTCCCTCACTTTTCTCTCTATAGTGAGAGCCCAACCATTCTCTCTATGAGAAAAAATGGTAAAAGTGATCTCAAATATTTTACATAACTCTGAGAGGTACTTAGGGAAGCTATCCTATGGAGTAATTTCATCCCTTTCTTTGAGAACTCTACTAATAATTTCCATATGAGGCTTAGGCCAACAATGTAAAGACAATTTCTCAAAGGATTTCTCAATTTTGCCTTTACATAATTCGGCTTCTGTAAACTGTACCTGTAACTAACTGGCCCTAGTAGAAGTCCAATTGTTTTTCTCTTCTAAAAGGAAAAGGAGACTTTCACTTAACTATACCTCAAATTTATCTGTTTGGGGCATATGCAGCATAGTTTCTGAAGCAACTCTAACAAGTCAAAAATCCTCTGGAAATTTGATCCCAAGAGTACAATGGCTTTTGAATATTCTTCACCTTCAATAAGGCATAGAGTAGAAGCACATGGAACCAAGTCCCCAGCCTATATTAAACTTATTTCTCCAGCAAGTCAGTGTTAAACATCTTATTCTTACACGAGATCTGGCCCATTTCCTACAGTATCCATTCCGTGTTGCCAGGTCTTACCGTTGATGCCCTGGGCCATCAATCAGAGTCACAGGGATTTCAGGATCAAATCAGCACTACAAAGCCATCAATTATCCCAGCTGTATTGAAGTCAACAGGTAGAAAACTGAAATAACAGATACAAATGACCCAACACTCACAGAGAGGATTGAACTTTCTTCTTTACCTGAGAAAAAGGATAAGGAGAATCTTTGTGGCATTACTGCTATAATTCCTTCCCACGGAATAAGCAGAAGAGATGTTTTCCAGCATGAAGTGAACGGGGCTGAAAATAAAATGTGTTTCTTTGCTTTCGGGAACATTCAACTTAAAAAAGGTTTTGTTTTGTGTCTTTGGATACAAAGGCAAGATTAACATGCTTGTATTAGAGGGTCCCCTGAGGATGAGCCTGGGAACCTGGAGCTTGGGCTTGGGCATTCAGGTGGCCCAAAAAAGGACAGAGCAGAGCCCCCAGGCTTCTCCACCAGAGCTCTGCAAAGACAAAACATGTAATTTTAGTCAATTATTTCCTGCAATAAAGGTGCTAATAAGTAGGATAAAGCCAAACAGTACTTTAGCATGCATTCAAAAACAGAGATTTGACTTCTAGCTTGTGTGTGTATAGGAAAGAGACAGAGCAAGAGAGATAGAGTGATTAACGTATGGTATGTGTGCAAAAGACTGCCTTGATTGCAAATACGTTTTGCCCTCTCCAGAGTGCATGAGTATAAAGATGAAGCACTGAATATTGAAGATATAAGCAAAATCATCACTAAATTTAGATGATGTCACATCTTGTGAGAGATATTTACATCTATTTCCTGTGGACAGTCTTGTTATTAAAATTAAACAGTCAGTTTAGTTCATATTTTCAGATTTTCCAGACTTTCACAGAAGTCACAAAAAAGTGGGAGACGTCAGTGAAAGAAGAGACAGGTGGGGAGCAGGGCAGGGAAAGAGGAAGGGCAGAACAGGCTGGGGTGGACTGAGAAAGCTCAAGGAATCTCATGGACTTGGTAAGTGTGAAAGTGAATAGCTAACCTAAGTGTGAACAGTTCTTTAGTGTAAGAATTTTCTTACACTATTTTCCTAGGAGTTTTGCTCTCAAGACTAGCACCATGACTTTCTTAAGTACAATGGGTCACTTCATGATCTGCAATGGTATAATGACCCTTCACATCAATGAGCGTGACTAAAGGGTGGAGTACAAGCTTCCATCTTAATGTGGTTAATTGCTACCCATTAGAACTTAAGCAGCACTTACATGAAGTTTCATAACCCTCATAATCCACGTCCACAGGCACTATACCTAACCCATTTTATATGAACATGCAACTTTATTCTCTATGCATTTGCATCCTCTCTCCATACATACCCTGGCCAATAACTGCTTTTCTGATTTAATGACATATGCTCAATTTTATGTGGTTTAAATCAAACTGAAAATGTGATCTAAGAATGCACCCAGTCTCATGTTTCTAAACTATCTGTAAATGAAAACTCAATTCATACTAGAAATATGGGTGATACAGGTGTCTTTCATTAAACAACAATTTAAAACGGGCTCTACAGGTTCTTATTTGGGGACACAGCAGCTTCTGGGATGTCATTCCAATCAAGCAAGACCTAGCCAGATAAAACAGGCAATTGATTTTCTACATTTTTCTTAACTTATTTTAAATAATACACTGAAAAGTTTACTGCACAGGATGAAGAAGAGAAAAAAAGAGAAATGGCAAGCTGAATTTGTTATACAGAGTTTTCCATAGCCAGATCAGGAAAATGGTTTTTTGCTTAATCTAAACATTTTATGTTTCAAAGATGCAGGAAACTGTTACAAGCTTTTCTTTTCCTATAAATAAAGCTGTTCTTTTTTCTTTATTAATCAAGGCCCTTGAATTGCCTTTCTTAAATGTTTGGTTTGTTAGAAACAACACAGAAACCACGTTCTTCTAAATACAGATAAAGGAGAGACTATTTATTTAGTTATTTTCATTTGTATTTCTTGGAATATTTTTCAAAGAGAGTATATTAAATAGCTCCACAGAAGGCTAGAAGATTTTTTCCCACAATGGAAAACAATAGCAATACCTCACTAATCAATATAAAAAGTCAAAATAAAAAATCGATGAGTATTACAACACATTCAGTGAGGAGGCCACTGACATATTTCCCTTCCAAGAAAGAACACCTTAGGCTCCTAAGTAATAATATGGAATTAGACTCCCACAGTGAGTAGAAATTCAATTGCTGACCTTATTACCTAACAAACAGTCACTTGACAAAGATTCTAATAGAATAGGTTTTCTAGGAAACTCCCCAGGTAAATATCCTCTGCACGTAGTTACACAATGCCTTCCCCTCTGCTAGGAAGACAGGAACGATGTTGTTAAGATAGAGAGCTCTCAGCAGATCCCTGGTTTTTCCAGACCACTGTCACTTTATGAGACAGATACAACCTCACCGTTGCTTTCTGTTAAGTAAGGCCTTACTAACAAATGGATTCAGGCACCACTAACACTTTAGACAATGGAAACACAAAAAGATACTACTGCTATATGCTACTCTCCTGCATATGAACAAACATGGTCTACTGATGGTGACAGAGGCAGGAGGCAGACAGGGGCAGGTCCCTGGTGAAGCTCCACCTTCAAACCAAAAAGCCTGAAACTCACGGCCCAAGGCGACAACTCTACTCCTGTTTGCCCACTCTCTCCTGAATGGTTCCTTCGGAATAATGCCTTTTTGCCCATCAAATGTTGCCTTTTTCAAAACTACCGATAGCCCGTCCTGTACCCCATCCTCTGCCTATAAAGACCCCAGACTCAGTCAGTAGAAGAGAGAAACGTGGTTTGACTGGAGAGGGAAAACTTGACTTCAGAGAGCAGCTGGACTTTGGAAGAGAGATGGCTTGACTCAGGGAAGAGCCGGCTGGACGTCAGGGGAAGACTTGTCCCGTCCCATCTACAGCTAGCTCCCGTCTCTGCTGAGAGCCATTTCCGTTGCTAAATAAAATCCTCCACTAATACAGTTCAGCTGCGTCCCCTTTCAAATCTCATCTTGAATTGTAGCTCCCATAATTCCCACGTGTTGTGGGAGGGACCTGGTGGGAGATAACTGAATCATGGGGGCGGTTCCCCCATCCTGTTCTCATGGTAGTAAGTCTCACAAGAGCTGTTGGCTTTAAAAGGGGAACCCCTTTCACTTGGCTCTCATTCTCTCTCTTCCCTGCTGCCATGTAAGACGTGCCTTTCGCCTTCCACCATGACTGTGAGGCCTCCCCAGCCACGTGGAACTGTGAGTCCATTAAACCTCTTTGTCTTTATAAACACCCAGTCTCCAGTATGTCTTTATCAGCAGCATGAGAACGGACTAATACATCCACCTTCACCATCCTTCAAGTGTCCACACTACCTCATTCTTCTTGGACTCCCAACAAGAGCTCAGGACCCACTGAGTGCGGGTACCCAAAAAAAGCTGTCACACTGGCCCTTTGCCTTCGCTGGCAGAGGGCAGCTGCTCCACGTGACGAGGCAAAGGACCAACCGAGTTGATAACACACTGCTGTCCACAGACGGCAGAGCTAAGAGAGCACTGTAACACACCCTCTGGGGCTTCAGGGTCACAGGCACCCCCACCTGTGTACCACAGCAACACTCACACGAAGATTGCTCCTGCTGGTGACCAGAGCAGCTGGTCTTGCTCTCTCACGTGCTCCCTCCCACAAGGGGTTGAGCGCAGCAGGCTGAGTAAATGGAGCTTGTTCCTGCCAGCGCACAGAGCAGCAGCCAGCCGGATCCCGCACTCGCTCACTCACGCGCTCCCTCCTACAAGCGGTTGAGCATGGTGGGCCAAGTAAACGGAGCACCCTGTCACAAGTCCAGTGAAAGGGTCGTGAAAAATCCGACATCAATGGTGATGTTGCAACAAGCAAACTTCCCTTAAATAAGATCTCAAAGTTTAAATGACGTCTCTTCCTTCCAGATTTGTGTAACATAGGATACAAAATGCTAGTAGAAGATGGACAGATAGGAAAGAAAGGACTGGGCAGCAGTGGGCAGTTCTCCCAGCTCTGTCTGTAACCTATGTACCCTTCCAGAGGCTCCTCACCTTCCCCAGGTCTCTGTATTAGCTGAGAACTGAGAGCTGGAATGAAGGTAAATTCATTCAGAGGACAAGGGATAGAGGGGGCTGGAGACCTGACTACATATTTTCCCCAAACACACCCTTTACTTCTTTACCTGATACAGCCAATAGCATAGGTTCGGCAAGATCTGACAGCTGTCTCAGCCAGACTCTTTCTTACATTTAAAACCTATAAGAAGTCTTCAAAAGTTTCTGGCATATAATAAGTGCTTAACATTTGGCAATTACGTTTATTTCTAAAAGTAGTTTTGTTATGATTCAGTCTGTGCTCACTGTCCCCTGCCACCTCCACACAAAAAAGGATGCAGGTATATGACGTTAAATTCTGATGAATTTCAACGCTCACCCCTAACGATCCTCACGTCCTCTGGGTTACCAGTAGGACCCTTCTGGAGCATCTGTGGGATTAGCTGTAGCAGGAAAACCTCTTGCCACTTTATACATGGCTTTTACTGAGTCCTGGAAAGAGGCTGGACTTAGGTCTCTTGATTAACCCTGTCTCCCAAGAGCAAGGGGCCTTTTTTGTGGGTGGTAAAAGCCTGAAGATACTCTGGCCCAGCTCCTACCATTTAGCTTATCAGTCAATATGTTCTGGCTATAGTTGTGTTTCACATATTTATATCAAAGTGGGATCTCATTGGGACCATATACTGCCATTTGTAGCAACCAGAACTGTGACCATGGCAGGAACTCAATAGAATACATGTTGAATGAACAGTGCCACCCTGAGAAGTCAGAGGTTCTCTCCCTTAGTGTTTTCTGCCACCACTGCTATAATCCTGACTGCTGGACATTGGTTGAAAATGGCGCATTGCCACTAGAGTGTTCTCGTGAAGCTGCTTGAGCCTATATGGAGAGAGGTGGGCATAAAAGCAGGTTGTAGAGGGGTCAGGTAAATACTTAAGATAAAAATATTTTAAAAGTTTGAACTGGCCGAAATCGCACCACTGCACTCCAGCCCGGGCGACGGCGAGACTCCGTCTCAAAAAAAAAAAAGTTTGAACTGCTATCTATACCCCATAAAATGCAAATTTTTAGTAGCTTGTGTTTGTGCAAATTGAATATTTGTAGCTGTAAGCCATTAGCACTACAGTAATTACTTAAATACTAATTTTTGTTCAAAATGCAACAGTAATTGTAGACATTAATTACAGAATCTGGGTGGTACGCAGGTGTTTGAGGTAAAATTTATTCAGTTATTCTGTATGTTTAAAAAGTTTTATAATAAAATACTGGAAGAGATCTAACTGCCTATGACTTTATTCAGAAGTACAATATAATTTAATATAGCTGTATATATTTTTTTCTTCAAGTTGAAATACTTCTCACTCATTTAAATAACTTTGAAAACATCTTGATCTAGGAAGCAAGACTACAGATGGATGAAAATAAATTGGAATCAGCAACAAGTAAGGACTTTTTATAAATCATTGTGAAAATTTTTACAAGTCAGAGGTAAACTTTATTCATGTATGTATGTATAGCACACTGATGCTAATTTTTTACAGGGTTTATATTCTGTCCTTTACACAGATGGAAAAATCAAGATAAAACAGCTTGTCTAAGCTGAGAAACAATGTACTTGCACAGCAGGGATAACCAGCACCCACCTCACAACACGAGGAGAAAATGCTCTCTGCTCTTCATGATGGAAATTCACTGACAAGTAAAAAAGTGTCAGTCACTTCATCTGAAGGTTTACTAAAATTTTTGCATATAAAAGAGAGAGGTTGTGATACGGAAGAGGGGCAGGGAAGTGCCGGGAGGAGAAGGGCAGGTCCCTGGTGAGGGCTCCACCCCCAGGCCTATGCCCACGGACTAGGTGAGGACAGGCACTCCTGCCTTCACGCCCAAATGCTGCATTTCCCAAGACCACCCTGGCCCACCACACCCCCATGCTGTGCCTATAAAAACCCCAAGACACAAGCAGCTGAACATCAAGAGGAACACACCAGCAGCTGGATATTGAGAGAATGTCGAGAGCATACCAACAGGCACCAGCACACCGGCAGGCCACAGACGGGTGGAACTATGCCGAGTTTGGCTGGGGCGGAGAGAGGAGAGCTCCAGCCACTGAGAGACCCGACTCCAGGGGAAAACCACCTTCCCACACCATCTCTCTTCTGGTTCCCCCATCTGCTGAGAGCTACTTCCACTCAATAAAACCTTGCACTCATTCTCCAAGCCCACGTGTGATCTGATTCTTCCAGTATACCAAAGCAAGAACCTCAGGATACAGAAAGCCCTCTGTCCTGGAGATAAGGAAAGGGGTCTAACTGAGCTAACACAAGCCACCTATGGATGGCTAAACTGAAAGAGCACCCTGTAACACATGCGCACAGAGGCTTCAGCTGTAAACATTCACCCCTAGATACTGCTGTGGGGTTGAGCCCCACAACCTGCCCATCTGCATGCTCCTCCAAGAGGTCTGAGCAGTGGGGCACTGAGGAAGCAACCCATACCACCATCACACGCTCTGCGAGGGGGATAAGGGAACCTTTCCCATTTCAGCTGTATAATTAAAACGTGTGTGTAAATGAGATGGTATTATGACTTGTTTGACCTACATTTGCAAACACTTCTTTATTCTAAAGTTGATTTCAGTGTCAGGGTGCATGTGTGTTTTAAACAAACAATACCTCTCCTTTTTCATTTTTATGATTGCTGACTTTAATTTTGGCAACAAATTTACCTTTAGTCATAAATCTCTGAAGTAATCTTATGTTAATACACTTAAAATTGCAAGGAATGATCATATTTCTTAAAACGGAGGGTACCAAGCTATAAATTCTTACTGAATAAACGTAATTTAGACTTTGTTCAGAACACATAAATGAGAACTATAAAATGCTTCCTACATCATCAACATATTAGAAACCCAGGAGAGTCCTTAATACACAAGACCCACTTGTATTATAGAACAAATCAAGGCTTGGATGGCAAGGAGAATGACCTAACTTTCTATCTGTCTCTCCATGGAATCTGACCATTTCAAATTTTTATTCAGAGGGTAGCGTGTTGATGTATTTTTATTCAGAGGGTAGCGTGTTGATGTATTTTTATTCAGAGGGTAGCGTGTTGATGTATTTTTATTCAGAGGGTAGCGTGTTGGTGTATTTTTATTCAGAGGGTAGCGTGTTGGTGTATTTTTATTCAGAGGGTAGCGTGTTGATGTATTTTTATTCAGAGGGTAGCGTGTTGGTGTATTTTTATTCAGAGGGTAGCGTGTTGATGTATTTTTATTCAGAGGGTAGCGTGTTGGTGTATTTTTATTCAGAGGGTAGCGTGTTGGTGTATTTTTATTCGGAGGGTAGCGTGTTGGTGTATTTTTATTCAGAGGGTAGCGTGTTGGTGTATTTTTATTCGGAGGGTAGCGTGTTGGTGTATTTTTATTCAGAGGGTAGCGTGTTGGTGTATTTTTATTCAGAGGGTAGCGTGTTGCTGTGTTTTTACTCAGAGGGTAGCGTGCTGTGTGCACATGCTGGCTTGTGAAAGGCTGTAATGACACCGCCTTGTCAAACAATCATAAATGACTTCACTGAACACGACCTTTTTGCACCAACCCCTACTGGAGCCAAAATGTATATAAAATATTTTTATTTTATGCTAATTCAAACGTGGGCCTGTTGTGCCCAGATGTGGACTACACTCGCAGCAGCGCTAGCTTGGCATTTGGGAAGTGTTGTGCCCAGATGTGGACTACACTCACAGTGGAGCTAGCTTGGCATTTGGGAAGTGAGATGACAGCAGCGTCCTTCTTTCAGATCTACTCGTTGACACAAGACTTCCTCCTTACTTACTTAACACTCTCATTCATTTTCATGAGACTTTTTGGCCTGTTTCTGAAATGTCACCTCCTACCCCGGCCAATTACAAAGGTTTACACATGTTCATTTAAAATCTATGGAAAATAAAGACAGTATAAAGAAGAAAATAAACACAACCTGTAAAAAGCACTATCAACATTATGGTATACTGTTTCCCTCACTATCAAAATCTATTAGATTTCCGAATCCTTTTTCACCTACGTGCAAAATAATAAAATTGAATGAAATTTAATCGATTTGGTTCCTTGAACTTGGAGAAGAGTTTGGATAAATAATACCTATATAGGGCCAGGTGCAGTGGCTCAAGCCTGTAATCCCGGCACTTTGGGAGGCCAAGGTGGGTGGATCATGAGGTCAACAGATGGAGACCATCCTGGTCAACACAGTGAAACCCCGTCTCTACTAAAAATATAAAAATTAGCTGGGCGTCGTGGTACGCGCCTGTAGTCCCAGCTACTCATGAGTCTGAGGCAGGAGAATCGCTTGAACCCGGGAGGCAGAGGTTGCAGTGAGCCAAGATTGTGCCACTGCATTCCAGACTGGCAACAGAGCGAGACTCTGCCTTAAGAAAAAAAAAAAAAAGAATACCTATAGCTTACTATGTAGCTCTATGCAGATGCTGATGGCTAGAAGGCTAAACAATAAATAGATATTATTGAGAAAATAATGTATTTTTACATAACAAGCCTCATATTTTTCAGTAGGTAAGGTCATTTAGGTTAGACAAAAGAAAGTTTTGGCTTCTCTTGCCAGTATCTACTTTCTCATAATTTCTAAGCGTGAACCTATATATTTTTTGATGTGATGTTCTGAAAATAAATCTAAGGATTAATGTCATAAAATGCTTCTTTGTAATTATAGCTTAGAAGCACATATTTAAAAGATTTAGGCTGGGCACGGTGGCTCATCCCTGTAATCCCAGCACTTTGGGAGGCTAAGGCGGGTGGATCACCTGAGGTCAGGAGTTTGAGACCCGCCTGGTCAAAATGGTGAAACCCCATCTCTGCTAAAAAAACAAAAATTAGTCGGGTGTGGTGGCGCATGCCTATAGTCCCACCTACGCAGGAGGCTGAGGCAGGAGAATCGCTTGAACCTGGGAGGCCGAGGTTGTAGTGAGGCGAAATCATGCCACTGCACTCTAGCCTGAGCAACAGAGAGAGACTCTGTCTCAAAAATAAATAAATAAATAAATAAATAAATAAATAGATCTAAATGTTGCACTATTCAAAATCTAAAGTCAAAGCTAATTATTTTGTGCATAACAGAAATCAGTATTAGCTGTTCAAACACACACACATTTTTTATTGTTATGACCAAAAACAAGATGGCAGGTGAGCCTCATCTCTGCACTAGCAAACAAACTAATTGTTTGCTTTCTTTTGTAGGCATTAAAGTTTCTTTTTGAATTGCATAAATGAACAAGAAAGCTGGGTCCAGTTTCCTAGAGAGACATCATTCAGGACAGAAATAGGCTCATGAGCACAGGAAATCTGTGAGCACTTGAACAAGGACAGGCTACTCCAGGGAAAGGACAATGTCTCTACCATGCTTGCTCATGTCTGACCACAGAACCAACATGGATATTTAAAAGCAGGGAGATCAGGGCAAAGTAAAAGGTAACCATTTGTTTATAAAAGAAAAATCATACTACTTGCGTATGTAATATATGCAAACCCAAAACAGCATGTCTAGGAATGCCAAGAATGAAAATCTGAATTTCCCTTTAACAATATCCATTATTTCACAATAGAATCATTATTAACATCTTTCTCTATCTCTCTTTAATAGGTAAAGCTCAACGACATGCAATATAACATGTTAAGAAGTGTGTGATGTAATAACCAGACTCTTCAGCAGCAGAAAGCAGAGTTCCATAAGAATATTACTCTTGGCGGGACTTAGTAGAATAATGTAAGTCCAAGAATCTTGAATTATATACATTGAAATGAGGCAGTATTTCTAGAAGATCTGAGAACTAGTACTTTTATACCCCCAAAATAAAGAGGAGCACCATTCAAACACTTTTTCCATCTATCTATCCATCATCCAGCACAAATAATTGGAAGAGTATTTGTGAAAGTTTTCCTCATTCAAGTACCATTCAGTGTAAGCTACCTGTACGTCTGAACCACCAATCCCTGAACGACTGATCCCTGAAGTGAAAGCAGCATGAGTGTAAACATACCTGCCTTGGCAAAGGTTTGTATGCCCCCACCTCTAGGTCACACTTTTTCACTGTACGCTTGGCATTTAGAATATCAATGGATACGGGTATTTTCAAGAATGTAATGTGTCAGTTCCTACCTCCACATAGTCCTTGGCATGGCCCCAATCTCGTTTGGCATCCAGATTTCCCAAACTGAAACATTCCAGTTGTCCAAGGTAAATCTTAGCTACTGACCGGCTAATTTTTCGAGTAACGAAATTAGCTCCTAAAAAGAGGCAAAAGATGTAGTATCAGTCAAGTGCACTTGACACATTTAACAGTTTGGTGAACCAAACCCGATTTCGGCCTCTGGGCATTTCTTTCATTCTACACTCCCAGCCACCCTGTTAAAACAATAAAAGAAAAGAAAAAGAGAAAAGATCATTAACTGTCATTTAGACAAGTTAAGAAGCCCTAATTCCATGTGTCACATCAGCTCTACTTTCAGAACAAACGTTTTTCTTTGGGGGACATCTTAACATTCCTAATTTGTTGCTTCAATATGCAACCCAGGCATTAGGCCAAAGAAAAGCTGTTGGAATGCCAGTTTTTAAACAGAAAATTCAAAAGGGTTGTATAAAGGGAAATGCCAGAATGGACGACAGACATCTAAGACCACCCTGATTTTTTTTAAGAACACAAACATCATATATTCCTATTAATAAAGCTACTTTGGGACTCATGGGGAGAGAAAGAAACATAGCTTAGTTCACAGGGTAACTAGTTAAAGGAAACAAGAAAGGAATTTATTTAGGCTGCCTTTCTCTTAACAAAATAAGTGGTGATGGCTCTTATTTAGAAACCTGCACAGCCATCCAAATGATATGATATGGCCCCTGGGCAAAAGTTTCTCTGTACTATACTTAAGGCAATGCCACTTTCCAAATTCATTTCAGTGTTATTTACAGAAAGGGCTCCTAAATTTTGTGTAATATTTTGAAATGATTGGTTGAAAGGGGCCATATCTTGATGAAAGCACTGAAATTGTTTTAATGTTCTCTGGTCTTTAATGAAAACTCTATCTGCTTTTTCAAAGATCACAAAGTTAAAAGGCACTTCTGAGACAGTTTTACCTTGTTATCTAGGTAAGGTTATGAGAAAACACCATTTAATACCAAATTCTCAAGGTAATAATACTCATATTAGCTAGTTAATAATGGATTCATACAGTTTAGATATGTGAATATCATGATTTATCACATACCAATGACTTTAACTATGTTCTTTTGCAGATGAAGCAGGGAGGCAAATATTATGATCAAAGTGTTTGGCTTCTGGAGAGCTGGCACAGGGATAAGGGGAATATTTCTAAATAGGTTTTCCAAATTTTGGCAAGAACGTGGCTTAGCGCAAGTTCAAACATACACCAGATTCACTTACTCCACAAACTTGATACGTACATTTATACCTACACCATTATCATTAAGAAATACAATGGGACTACCGTGGAAATCCAAATTTTCAATTCCCCTTGTCAATTCAGATGGTATGTTAAGAAATACAAAGTTTCAACTTTCCACAGAGGTTTATATAGCACATAGAGGTCCTTCAAAAAAAAGTGCCTTTCGAAATGAAAAACTACTTATTAGCCAGTAAGTAATTAGTGGCTAATTAGTAATTTTAAAAATTTTTCTATTGACTTGTAAGAATTAAATTTAGGTTTTTTGATGTTTATCATTATTTCAATGTCAGGACTATACTATTTTCTCAAAGTATACTAAGAAACCAATGATGGCAAACTATTAAATGAAGATTCCAACATAAAACATTTCAGATTAACCTGTTTACCAGTAAAGTAATGTTTGGGAGTCCAATGGAAGTATTTGACCCTATTCATACAATTTATTGATTCTTTTACCCAGTGTTGACTACGCACCCACCAATCACTAAGCACTGAGCTAGGCACTGGGGATCTGGGAGAGAAGCAGCAGCCCCTGCTCTCAGGTATCACAGAGAGGGTCAGGTGGGCCAATAAACCAGTGCTGAACCTAGTAAAATGCCAGGTCTGCAAGGGGGGAAAGCCTTTGGGGTTGTAGCATGGCTGCCAGGCGCAACGCACGTGAGAAATGCCTACCAGAAATGGAGCTTGAATGGAGTCTACCAGTGAGGTCATGAAGGGACTCATCAAGCTGTGAGACAGGGTGGTACTCCAGGCAGGAGGAACGGCACTTGCAAAGATGAGGAAGGGCCTTTCTCTTCCAACTCTTACCACAACCTTATGATGGTTATGGCACCTCCAATGAGGGCTATCGCTGATAGCACTGTGCTGAGCTCTTTAGATGGGGTAACTCATTTAATTTTCCGAGCAACCCATGTGCTAATATTACCCCCATTTTGTACATGAAGAAGCTGAGATTCAGGGAAGCTATATAAATTAACTATTCTAAAACAGCATTCAAATCGAGAGCTATATGACTACCAAGTTCTTATATTACCAGAACTTTCATGTCGTGCTAGAAAGGTGGATCTTTTCTTATCTGGTTCCTAAAGTTATCTTGGATAACTAGCCAAAATTAACTATAATTTCTAATTCTTTTTTTTTTTTTTTTTTGAGATGGAGTCTCACTCTGTCACCCAGGCTGGAGTGCAGTGGCGCGATCTCGGCTCACTGCAAGCTCCGCCTCCCGGGTTCACGCCATTCTCCTGCCTCAGCCTCCCGAAAAGCTGGGACTACAGGTGCCCGTCACCACGCCCAGCTAATTTTTTGTATTTTTTAGTAGAGACGGGGTTTCACCGTGTTAGTCAGGATGGTCTCGATCTCCTGACCTCGTGATCCACCTGCCTTGGCCTCCGAAAGCACTGGGATTACAGGCATGAGCCACCGCGCCCGCTCAAAATGTAATTTTAACTATTATTTAGAACAGCTATTTTGAGATATAATTCACATAGCATACAATTCATTCATTTAAAGCATATGCTTCAATGGCTTTTCTTATATTCATAGAAATGTACAACCATCATCACAATCAATTTCAGAACACTTTCATCATCCCAAAAAGAAACCCTGTATCATTTAGCAGTCACTCACCAGTTTTCTCCTAGTACCCTAGCCCTGGCATACAGATAATCTACCTTTTATCTCTAGATTTGCCTATTCTGGACACTTCCTATAAATGGAATTATATTAATGTCTGGTCTTTGTTTCTGGTTTCTTTTAGTTAGCATAACATTTTCAAGGTTCATCCATACTGTAGCTTGAATCAGTACATTGTTCCTTTTTTATGGCCAAATAATATTCTATTATATGTATATACCAAATTTTATTTAACCGTCCACGAGATGACTATCTGTGGTGCCTCCATCCTTTGCCTTTTGTGAATAATGCTACCATGAGCGTTCATGCCTTTTTGTGAACGTATGCTTTAATTTCTTTTAGGTATATACCTAGGGGTGGAATTGCTGGGTCATATGAGAACTCTGTTTTACCAATTGAGGAACTGTAGACTTTTCCAATGTGGCTGCACCACTTTACATTCCCACCAGCAGGGTAACAGGGCTCTGATTTCTTCCCATTCTCCCCAGTACTTGTTATGGTCTGTTAAACTGTAGTCATGCTAGTTGGCACCGAGTGGTATCTTATTGTGGTTCCGATGTGTCCTTCTCAATAACTAATCATATGAAGCAACTACCTTTTCATGTGCCTACTGGCCACTTGTATATCAATTTTGGAGACATGTCTATTCAGATCCTTTGTCCATTTTTAAATCGGATTACTTATCTTTTTATTATAGAGTTGTAAGAATTCTTTATACATTCTGGATCCAAGTCCCTTATCAGCTATATAATTTGCAAAGATTTTCTCTCATTCTGTAGGCTGACTTTTCACTTTCTTGGTTGTGCTCTCTGAAGCATAAAAGCTTTTTTATCTTTTAATTTTGATGAAGTCCAATTTGTCTACATTCGCTTGTGTGGCAGATGCTTTTGGTGTCATATTCGAGAAGGCTTCGTTAATCCAAGGTCATGAAGATTTATTCCTATATATTTTTATGAGTTTTATAGTTTTTCTTCTTACATTTGAATTTTTGATCAATTTTTAGTAAATTTTTATATATGGTGTGATGAAAGGGTCTAACTTCATTCATTTGCATGTTGACATCCAGCTGTCTCAGTATTATTTGTTAGAAAGGTTATTTTTCCCATTCAATAGCATTTTCCTCAAAAATCAATTAATTAATGAAAAATGTGGGAGACAATTTCTGACTTTCAATTCGATTTCATTGATGTACTTACTCTATGTCTATCCTTATGACAGTACCACACAGTCCTGGTTACTGTAGCTCTGTGGCAAGTTTAAAAATTAGGAAGTATGAGTTCTCCAACTTTGTTCTTTTTTAAGGTTATTTTAGCTATTCTCTGTCCCTTGAATTTCCATATGAACTTTAGGATCAGCTTGTTGATTTCTGCAAAAACACCAACAGGGATTCTGAAAGGGATCATGTTGAATCTGTAGATCAAAATGGAGGCTATGCCCATGCTAACATTATTGTGCCTTCCGATACATGAATATAGGATGTCTTTCTCCTTTATTTTGGTCTTTTAAAATTTCTTTCAACAATGTTTAATAGTTTTCAGAGAATAATTTTTACACTTCTGCTAAATTTGTTCCTAAACACTTTATTCTTTTTTATTTTATTATAAATACAATTGTTTTCTTGATTTCAAGAAAAAGTTTTGGATTAATTTTAAACATTTTTGTAACCACATGTTTTACTACTTAATTCTCAAGAAAGGCTTAAAATGATTTTTTTTTTAAATTTGCTCTCCTCATTTTTACTCCATGTTACAGAAGAATGCTCTTTTAAGGAAGAAACTATATAAAAGCATAGAACATGAGGGCTGAGACTATCCCAAGTGAGAGGTGAAGAAAGAGAAACGCACAGAGGCTGCACACCTGTCCTGAGTCAGGACAAGTAGCCGAGCCGGACCCAGGCCTGTCTCACTGGCTTTCTAGCCTTGTGCTGTTTTGCTAAGCCACAGTGCAATGCAGGAGGAATCTCTTCTGCGATGAGATGACCTAAGTGTTTGTGAATTATTATAGCACATGTGGATAATGGAACCCCTATAATTAACTTAAATACATACTTGATTTATAAAGCCTTAAACTATAAGATTCTCGTTAGAAAGAGGACTAAGAAAAGTTAGCTCAATGAATGGAGGGAAAGCCAGCTCTGTTAGTAACCAGCTGTGATATCTTACACAAACCATTTAACCACTCTGAAGTCATAGTCTCCTCTGTGTACTACTTGCATATTAACATTTGCCATGCCAAATCACTGGGTACACTAATGTAGGTTAAATGGCATTTCTTACAGAAATGTAAGAACATCACTATGTCCTTGTTTGTAAAATAAGGATAGTAATAGTACCTAAAAGCTTTGATGTTTAAAGGAGAAAATCTAGGTTTTCTGGTTATCAGTAAGTACTCAGTAACTGTTAGACATTATTATAATGATTACATTACAATGTTAATGGTATCTACAATTAAGTCTCAATGGAAAGTTAAGATTTCTTAGTTCTTTTATTAATAGATGACTACATCTCTTAATTCTCTGATTTTGAAAGTCTGAGATTGAGGAAAAATCAAAATAAACAGCCAGGCATGTGGGCCTACACAGGAAGCAATAATAAACATTTCTTGAATGACTTTGGCTTTCAATATTAACTCATTAACCTAGGAAAGAGAGTATGCAAGTAAAAGTATATCCATAAGACCGAGAACAACTAATAAGGTTTTTAGCCTAAACACTCGTTGGATTGAGATAATGAGTTTTGCCAGCATTGATAGAATGAGAACAGAACTTCTGTTCACGCAATGCAGTAGACAACAAAAACTGCCACATTAAAAACCAGTATATGCTGGGTAAAATATTACTATTCCTATTTTGTTAAATACAAAGCTGAGCCTCAAAGAAATGAAAGAAAATCCCCAGGTGAAGGGGGATCTCCAGAGCACAGATCATGGGTGGGCACTGAGGAGTCTGGGCTGGAAGTGAAAATGGAAGGCCATCTCATGCCCTGGAAACAGGTTCAGCTTTAATATCTATCTGTGACAAAGGACAAAATTTTCAGGGTAGATTACTAGAACCGTGTCTAACACACTATGTTAGTTATGCATAATTCTGCTTGCTACTTTTGTCAGTGCTATTATCTTAAGCAAGTGTTTTAATTTCTCAGTTCTCTTACCAATAAAATGGGATCACAATCCACACTAAGAATAAAATATCATGCTACAGGAAGCAGTGAAGCAAGGCTCAATGTGAGCAGTGGCAAGAGGGCCAGCAGGCCTGCATGGACCCTAAGGCAGTCGCTGAAATGGTGCATTGAGACTTGAAGGCTAAGACTACTTAAGAGTAAAGCTCACTCCTTCCATGAACCTAGGGAAAGTGAAGCCTGTGAATTTTACCAGCAGCAGACACCAGGCACAGCCAGAAGTGGGACTAATCCCACCTCCTCTGTGGCCACAAGGCAAGGGAATAATAGCTCAGACCAGCAAGTCATCAGCTGAGACCAGGAGGCATTCAGAATGTACCACAAACACCTGAAGACACCACCTGCCCCTTTTCCAACACTAGGTCAAATAAGCCACATCTACGTCCCATATAGCACCACACGCCACACCACAACGTTTAGGTCAAGCATGGACCGCTTATATGACAATGGTCCCGTAAGATTACAATAGAGGCCAGGCACAGTGGCTCACGCCTGTAATCCCAACACTTTGGGAGGCTGAGGTGGGCAGATCAACTGAGGTCAGGAGTTTGAGACCAGCCTGGCCAACGTGGTAAAACCTCATCTCTACTAAAAATACAAAAATTAGCCAGGTGTGGTGGTGCGAGCATATAATCCTAGCTACTCAGGAGGCTGAGGCACGAAAATCATTTGAACCTGGGAGGTGGAGGTTGCAGTGAGCTGAGATCACCCCACTGCAATCCAGCCTGAATGACAGAGTGAGACTCTGTCTCAAAAAAAAAAAAAAAAAAATTACAATAGAGCTGCCCAATACAGGCATATCTTTTGTCCTTTATATGGTATTTTTACTTTACCTTTTCTATGTTTAGATACACCAATACACATTGTGTTGCAACTGCCTACAGTGTTCAGTAATCTGCTGTCCCAGTTTGTAGCCTAGCAGCGATAGGTGTGCAGGAAGATATACCATCCAGGCTTGTGGAACACTCTACGTCTACAACCGTCACACAATGACACTGCCTAATGATGCATTTCTCAGAACAAATCCCTGTGGTTCCGTGACGCATGACTGTAGGTAGATGCCATCCTGAACAGAAACAAGAAAAGAAAGCACGCCTAGAAAAAAGCTTCAACATTCTGTTACATTAATAGCAGACACTGAACTTTCTTTTAAATTTTAATTTGCTGTTTTTGAAAAACAAGTATAAATTAACTGTTAAGGACTATATTAGTTCCTAGGGCTGCCATAACAAACTCCCACACACTGGGTGGCTTCGAACAACCAAAATTTCCTGTCTCACAGCTCTGGAGGCTTGAAGGTTAATATCCAACAGGGCCATGCTCCTTCGAGAATATCTACAGGAGAACCCTGATGCTGTCTCAGCATGTGATGGCATTCCTTGGCTTGTGGTCCAATCTCTGCCCCCATATTCACACCATATGAATAGTGCTTTCTCCAATGTGTGTCTATGTCTCTGGCTCTTCTTTTTATTATGTGGACACTTGTCATTAGATTTAGGGCCCACCTTGGTAATCCAGGATGATCCCTTCATCTCAAGATCCTTAACTAATTATAACTGCAAAGACCTCATTTCCAAATAAGGTCACATCAACAGGTTCAGATATTAGGATGTGGACATATCTTTCTGGGGGCTACCACCCAACCCACTATAAGAACGAAGGTTTAGAATATTTGAGGCTAGGTGCGGTGGCTCATGCCTATAATCCCAGCACATTGGGAGGTGGGAGGATCACTTCAGACGAGGAGTTTGAGATCAGCCTGGGCAACATAGCAAGACCCCTTCTCTACTAATTTAAAAGAAAAAAAAAGGGGGATACTTGAAATACATGATAAAACATGAGAGGGGCATTGTTTCCTCACTTAAACATCATTTTAAGGGTAACTACATTCCTTTCGTGAGCATAATAGCCAAATAGGGTCTCCATTTGTAGAAGATTAATTTAGAGGTGATAAAGTAAGTTTCCCCTCTGTTTCAGCTCTGCAAGTTTTCCTCAGTTAATTTAAATAGCTCCCTGGGTCTCCTTCTTCAGGGGAATATACATCTTCTTATAATTTCAGACTGAAAATTCTGTGTGAATTCCTGTGTCTACCAATTTCCTTTGTCATCATTCTTTCTTGCATCTTTCTTGTGGCATAAATTCCCTTCTTAAAATGCATTTTTAGAAGTTCCCTTAATGTGGAAAAATTAACTAGCTCGTATTTGAAAGAAGTTTTGCTAAGTGCACAGTTCAAGGTTGAAAATTATCTTCTCTTCCATGCTGACAGTATTTTCCCACTGTCTTCTGGTTTGCAGTTTCTGCTAGGAAGAAGTGTGTTTCCGGTCTAATTGTCATTCCTTTGTAGGTAATGTAATGTCTTTTTTTCTCCTGTTAATGTAAAGATATTCCTGTTTTCTTTGGTATTCTGGGGTTTCACTCCAATGTGTCTACGCATGGCTTTCTGCTTGGGGTCCATGGTGCTTCCTGCATCTGTGACTCTTTAATCAAGTCTAGAAATTTCTCAGCAACTATCTCTTTAGATATTGCCTCTTTTCACTCTATTTTCTTCTGGGAAAGGATATTAGACTACTACTTTTACTTTCTACTCTCTTAATTTCTTTTTTTTGGTAATTTTCATCTCTTTGCTCTTATCTGTAATAGTCTGGGTTAATTTCCGTATAGCCATCTAATTGTCCTTCAGCAATCTAATCTAAGTCGGCCATTTAACCCTTCCTTCTTCCCTTCCTTCCTCCCTTCTTTCCTCCCCTCCCCTCCCCTCCCCTCCCCTCCTCTCTCCTCTCCTCTCCTCTTCTCTTCTCTCTCTCTCTCTTTCTTTTTTGGCACATCCAAAGTTCTCTTTGGTTCTTTTTCAAACCTGCCTGGGCATTTTTACATTCTGTTCTTGCTTGCTTATTTTTTCTGATTTGACATCTTTATTTACACATGTTTTTGTAATTTTATATTCTGAATTAGATAATTCCAGTATCTGAAGTTTTGGGGGGACTTATTTATTACTTGTTATTTATGCTGACTTTGACTGATGGTGGTTTCTTTCCTTGTGCATTTAGTGAGAGTTCATGTTTAGTAACCTTAATTTGCTGGAGACCAGAGGACATCAACGCAAATGACGGCTTCCTCCTGAGACAGTCACTGTTTGTTTCTCCTGGGGGCCAGGAGATACTAACACCTGGGATGCTCATCCCCTTCCAGAATGCACAGGTTAACAAGGTTCTGCTCTTCCCCTTGACTGCTATCTACTGATTAAAGAGGCTGGGTGTTCCCTAAAGACCCAAGGATATACATATACACACATGCATATATATATACACACACATATATATACACATATATACATATATATACATATATATACCTATATACATATATATACACACACACACACACATATACACATACACACACACAGAGTCCATGTTAAAGTTTCTATTATATTATAAAGCATACCAACATAACATCTCTATCTTCTATAACAAACATTAAAGGAAAAAAACTGACAAAATTTGGAAAACACACTTTAAATTGCCAGCATTAAACTGAAAACAATGGAATTGCCTTTAAGACATGAATAATAGCCAATTTATTAAAGAATTTGATTGCATATTAGGTCACAATCTTTTCCACAATGTATTACTTCAATAGAGATTTATTTTTAAAAACAAAATGCAACCTTGGGCGCCCTCTGATGATGCCGTAGACGTAAGGAAGAAACCCTATGGGAGGTTCACTAAGTCCTACTAGGGACAGTTCTACTTACCACACTACACAAAATTACTTCTTTTTGACACCCTCTGATGATGCCGTAGACGTAAGGAAGAAACCCTACAGGAGGTTCACTAAGTCCTACTAGGGACAATTCTACTTATCACACTATACAAAATTACTTCTTTTTCAAATGTATATTTCCTATGGCCCTGTGGCAATTTTTATTGTTTGTGTGTCTACAGATACACGATTGTATATGTGCATGCATGCATGCATACATACATATCTAAACATTATCCATCCATATCCAAATGGTACTTGAAGTAACCAAAATTTGTCTAATAAAAATTCTATTCCATTGCTCAATACTTCATCCAAAAGCTTTTGATTTAAAGATTTTTTTGGAGTTAGATAAAGTACAATGACAGTTTGGACAATATTCATTGGAAAACAGAAATCATTCCAATTTATCCTGAACCCCACATGAACCTCCGCCTTGGGGCCCTGCATTTTTCCCCTGTGGTAATCTCTGGCCACCCCACTGTGAACTGCCTGGGCCATGGCTCAGTGGAGACAGGGTGTGGAAAGAAGAGACACTGAGAAGGTCATGGCTGACTGAGCAGATGACTGAGATCAGAGAGATCATACCTCATTTGCTCACTAAGTCCTGCCAAGAGCAACACTATTTAACTGCAGGTACTCAAAATCCAATAGGCACGTTTAAAGGAATCTCAGGCTTAAAAGAGGACAATTCACAATGTGCATTTGTCTGAGATAGCTACCACCTTTTGGCAACTATTTAAAATATGTGTATAAAGAGAAATGTTCAAACTACTTTGCTATTTGTATCAAATGTTCAATGCATTTTCCACTGACAGTGAGATAATTCAAATTTGTAAGTCTTCCTTTCAGGTTTTCTCCAGTTTGGTACTATTGACATTTAAGGAGGAATAAGTCCTTTTTATTGCTGGTTGTGCTGTGCTTTGCAGTGTTTAGGAGCGTCACTGGCCTTTACCCAGTAGATGCCAGGAGCACCCCCTCAATTATGTTCACAGGTGTTGCCAACTTCCCCCTGGGGGGACAAAACTGCCCTGGTTGAGAACCATGGCCTTAGTCAAATAAAACAACCCCACAAAGACAAAATCCCCAAAATAAAAAAAAAAATGTATAGCTTTTAAGTACCTCTATTCATTCGATACACTAACAAAACTATCGGGGAACTAATAAACATGAAATATTTAAATCAGGATGAGACAAGGGTGAGTCTTCATTTAACACTGCAGTGAATCTATAAGCCTGGCCTTCCAACGAGGGTCTAGGCTGAGGGCACACATTTGGGAACTATTTATGTATGGATGATATTTCAAGTCCTGAGGCCAGCTGAGACCACCAAGAAAGGAATGTTAGCAACAAAACATAAATGGTCAGAGAACCAAATACACTGATGCTATAATGTTTACAGGCCAGATGAGGAGGAAGCAGTGAGGGGAAGCAAGGACACGGGAGTATCCTAACAGTCTGGATAGTCTGTATCCAGGAGGGAGTGATCACCATGACTGCAGGTCAGAAGGACAAAGACAGAAACGTGACCTTGATGGGAGAGCTTCTGAAAGAGGTGGACAAAAGTCCAAGGAAGGAGAGGGCTCAAGAAAGAATGGGGGTGAGATTTCGTAGACAAGGAGCACAAACAGCTTCTGAAAACTTCTGCTGTCAGTGAGAGAAAGGGGTGAGACTGGGAGGACTGCACTTCAAGATGGGCATGAAAGCAGCCTCTTTGCATGCTGAGGGAAAGATCCTAGTGATGACGGAGAAACTGATCCAGGAGAGAGGTGAGAATTGCTGATGCCAAGTCTTCAAGGAGGTGGTAGCAGACAGGAGCTCCAGACAGACAGCTCCTCCAGGGCACAGGAGAGCAGGTAGGGAGAACACAAACGCAGGAAGGCAGAGTTCAGATGTTCTGAGGACTTTTCTTCCTGCTCAAATCTTAAACACACACCCCATCCTGACTACACGACTCAACCCCGCCTCGCTCACCTCTCCCACTGTCTCTGCTCCTACGCCGTGAACTGAGTCGGAGGGAGAACCTTCGCACACCTATGCTGACTGCGCTCTCCAGCGAGAGCTAAGCTCGTGCTGCCTGGTCATGATGACCTGCAACTTCCTGGTCGGATCTTCCTCCTGTTCACCTCAGGAGACATTACCATTAACTCTAGTTCGCTTCTCCTTTTACCCCAAGCTAACACAACTTTCTGGATGGCCCTGCATGGTGAATGGTCTCACCCTGCACCCAGTAGCCCGGGAGTCCTCTTTGATTCCTTTCTCACTCTTCCATTAGTCAACTGCTCATCAAGTCCTTCTGAGTCTGTTTCTTCAGCAGTCCTAAATAATTCCCCATCCCAGCCTCTAGTAGGCCACAAATGAGGTGGCTGCTCAATGCAGATTCCCCAAAGCATGCTTTGGTGCTCTTTCCTACTTCACATGGTTCTAATGGGAGTAGCCTAACCCTGCCATCCTGACTGCACTGATTTATTCAAGGTAAGATCCTGGCCCAAGCTGGCCCAAAGCACCACTCACTGGCTACTGGGACTGGTTGAGGGAGTGGAAACCTGACCAAGGCCCTACCCCAGGCCATTCCAGATGGAGTTGAAAGAGAAAACAGTTTTCCTCCAAGTGGCAAGACTGAAAGGGGCAGTGATCCTAGTTCTAGTTTCATAGAAAAAACTGGACTGAAAAGATGAGGCCAAGACAGAAAGAAAAATGGAGACAGAAGATAAAAAGGGAGAATCCTGAAGATATCTGAGTTACTGGTTCCAGCTGTCCCTGAAATCGGACGTTCCTGCCATTCCCATACTTGGGTAACACCCATACAGCGCTATCTTCAATTATTTCACTTAAGCTTAGCGTGAGGTTCGCTTTTTGCCATTTCTAAAGCCAGAGTCCTGATAGACGCACAAGCACAAACTCAGCGAATAATTCCATCTGGCCCAGGCCCTTATCATTTTCTTTACTGGATTGCTGTCACTGCTACCAGGTACTCTCTTTGCCCTGACTCTCTTCCTGCTCTGCACCTGTCCTGAAAACTCATGACTTCCAAATGCAAATGCAACCACAAGCCTCTTTCTTCAATGGCTATAAACTGCCTATGGGCCGGAAGCTCCTGTGTGCCCTGTCACCGGCCCCGTCCCCAGCATCTCCTCCTGCCCTGTCCCCCTCACAGCTCTCTCCAGTGACATCCTACTGTGTGCAGACCCCCCAGCATGCACAGGTGTCTTCTCCTTCTCTGGACGGCCCCTTCTCTGAGAAACATCTGTATCCACAGCTAGTTCCCAACTGCCTGGCACTCCAAGTGTCATCTCAGTGGAAGGGTTTCCTGACTCCTCCCCTGGTGGGGGCTGTCCCTCTTCTGTGCTCCTCCATCACCCTTGCACAAGCTACCTGCTCTCATTACACTCCACTGCAATCTTCAGTTTACTCACCTCAACTGTGAGCTTCTTAAAGACAAGCATTCTATTCTGTCTCTCTAGTGTCTCGCCAGTGTCTAACACAGTATATAACACATGATAGGTGTTCAATCAACATTTTCTGCAGGGAGAGGGAGGGGAGCAGGGCTATTCCACAGTTTAAACAGGAAGGTATCTTTACATTTACACATGTAGGACATAATGAACCTGATTCTCTTATTGCTTCTGCCATAATTCCAGAGTCTCAGGAATGATTAAATGCTTCCACTGATACATTTATTTTTCAAGGACTTGCATACTAATAAGAATAAAGGTAATACCACAGATGCCAGTTCAGAACAAAGAAATTATCTGGTCACACTAGGCAGCTTGTCTCTCTTCTGACACGTATTAGGGTTCTTCTCTGCCTTCATGTTTGTAGGGACCTCTGTATACACTTTTACCTCTATAATCAGAGCTGTAGCAAATAGAGGAGGGATGTGAGAAGGATAAAAACTTTCTGTTGTGACAGAGAGAGTATCAAATTCAATATATTCAGTCTATGTAAGAATGAAAAACACTGGAACAATATAGAGATATGTATATCATCTTCTGAAATCAACTCCTTTTTGCAGAAATGACTTATTTGCATTAAAAATGACTTATCCCACATCGTTCCACATCATGTTTGGGCTTTACTTCAGAATTGATAGAGCTATTTCACAGAAGGATAATGTTCATACTTCTGTTTGAGGACACTCATACTGAAACCTCTTGGATTACAATTTCTCTTTAGCTCCCATCTCGACTCGGAAGTGTAGTGACATTTAAGAAGTAAGGCAGAGCCACTTCCTAAAATTTCACACTCAGCTGGGCGTTGGGGCTCATGCCTGTAATCCCAGCACCTTGGGAGGCCGAGGCGGACGGATCACGAGATCAGGAGTTCGAGACCATCCTGGCTAACACAGTGAAACCCCGTCTCTACTAAAAATACAAAAATTAGACAGGCGTGGTGGCGGGCGCCTGTAGTCCCAGCTGCTCGGGAGGCTGAGGCAGGAGAATGGCGTGAATCTGGGAGGCAGAGCTTGCAGTGAGCCGAGATGGCGCCACTGCACGCTAGCCTGGGCGACAGAGCCAGATTGCGTCTAAAAAAATATATATATATTAGCCAGGCGTGGTGGCGGGCGCCTGTAGTCCCAGCTACTCGGGAGGCTGAGGCAGGAGAATGGCGTGAACCCAGGAAGCGGAGCTTGCAGTGAGCCGAGATCGTGCCACTGCACTCCAGCCTGGGTGACAGAGCGAGACTCCGTCTCAAAAAAAAAAAAAAAAAAAAAAAAATTTCACGTTCGAAGTAACTTAACAAAAATAGTATTGGCTTATAGCCACCCAGCATAAAGACTGCAAAGTAACGAAATCTTCAAAAGACCTTTGATTCAAATTCTTGATCTGATAGAAAATTGGGACAAGATAAATGTCCATAAAATGATGCAATCATGTCTCCTTCCACAAGAATCTTAGTTGGCTCTAATGACAGTTTCTGTTATTCTCTTCTGTCACAGAAAAGTAAATATAGGCAATACCCTGAAAACAAATACATACAAAAGATACTTATTCACCCAAGGAAAATAAGTAACATTGCCTCCTCTGTAATAACTATTGCTAATTATTGATTTGGACTTCAAGCAGTTTTTCAAGAAGGGTCAGACTCCAAGAACAAGCACAATTAGAAATAAAGGATGACTTCTAAGAATTGTGTGCCAGTCAGAAAACACTGTCTTAGTTGTCGACATACAATATAAAGTAATACTAAGGAATGAAAAATGCAAGGAAGAGAAATTATGGCTTTCTTACTAGTGACTTAGCCTCTCTGCTTGAATCATATCTATAACTTTTTGAGGTTCTTTATAACTGTGGGGTTCTCAGCCACAAGCCTAATGAGATGAATGGGCATGCAGGAGGCAATAGCGTGCCTCTCAAGCTCACCAGAGCAGCAGCAGAGACTGAGCCTGTGTGGCAACAGGAGTGTGGCCCAAGGTACACTTTCTGGAAATTAGGTAATGAGCAAAAAAAGCATTTGGTCAGTACTAGATGAGATGTTTTTAACACATACTGACAACAGACCATAATACGCAAGGAGATAAAGTTTCACACTTTTTTTTCTTGTGGTTGGTTATAGTCGGGTTGGCTTGAAATTTAGAGTATGCACATACGGTTACAGAGGCCCTTGATAGATTTGCATGACAGTAATGTCTGTGAACCCAATATTCTTCACGCCTGGGGTCATGGCCTGCACCCGTAGATCCAGCCACTCGGGAGGCTGAGGCAGGAAGATTGCTTAAGCCTAGGAGTTAGATTTCAGCTTGGGAAACATCGTGAAACCCTGTTTTCTAAACAACAAACACCACCAACAAAAATCCCCAACATTCTTCAAATCACTCAGGAACAAATACTGTGAAGAGAATCACAGAAAAGCGGACTTAACAACCATGTAAAACATGTAAACTACAAATAATTCTAAAACCGAAGGTATCTGTCATTCAGCAGTATCCCTGACATGGTATTCCCAGGATAGTGTCTATAAACTAAACACCATGAAACAGTTTTTTTTAAAGTTAATAGACTGAGTTACAAGACAGCTTAACAGTTTAGTCCCAGTTTCTATGTCACCCATGTGGCAAAATTTCAGGTGAAAGATTTGCTTCCATATTTTACTTCATCACTTCCTTTTCTCACTAATTAAATTTAGAATTTAGCAAACCTAAAATGAAAAATAAGGAAAGGAAAGAAGCAACAAAAAGTCAAACAGGAAGAATGGTCTTGAGGAAAAACTAGAGGGCCAGGAAAGGCAGCTAATGTAACTGGAAAAATACTCACTGGGGCAATGAAATGTGATGGAAGGGGCAGGCCACCAAAGGAGCCGCACAAGGTAATGGACAGTCACACAGTTCCAGGGTCAAACCACATGAGTCCAAATCCTATATCCTTCACTACTATGGGAAAGTAATTTCACTTCTCTAAACTCCTGTCACCTTACCTGTAAAATGGATATAACTACAACTACTTCATCGTTTTATTATGGGGATTAAAAGAGATGAGTGACAGAGCATCTGGCACATGGTCAGAACTAAATAAGTGTTACCTGCTATGCTATCATTATCATTACTAACATCACTAACAGTCCCGTAAGTTGAAACTTTTCAAAATTCTAATATATTAGCTCAAGAGCACTTTACACTTCTCAATAAGAATTTGTGTTTAAAAATTCCAGTATCAGATGCACTTAGAATTCAGCCAAAGAAAGGGGGATATGCTGAAAACATCAAGCAGGTACGGAAGGCTTTCCAGGAAGTGATCACAGGGCATGCTCAGCCCTTGGCTGCAGAAAAGGAGGAGCGTGTGTCAGGTACAGCCCCTGCACCAAGACTCAAAGTGAATGGGCACAATAGCTACCAGTGGGCATGTGCTGGCAGCCCTCCTTTGGGCAGGAGTGCCAAGAAGCTCTCTAGGCATGTTTCACAAGGAGCACTCAACTATTGCAATCCCCATCCCCCAAATCTGGCTCAGAAAAGCGATTTCATTTTAATAACCATCAATCTTAATTAATATAGCAGAATTCAATGGTGTCTAGCGAGTTCTGCACATTTTTTGGAAAGAAGTAGATAGATCATTTTTCGCATATGGTATATTAGCTCATTTTAGTGCTGGGAGTAGAAGAGTAGATGAACTTCTTTTCCTATATTTTCAGTTCCCTGTCTTAATATTTGCTTCCTATAGGGAAATATTTCCCTGTGCTTGCAGATTTATGAAACATTCCTCAATGTCCAGCACTCCCAATTAAATGTTCTCTGTGAACTTGGGACCACACAGTCGTCTGCCAGCCAGAATGGGGATATGCTGGTACTAAGGTTCTCACCAACCTATTTTGTCTTCCTCAAAAAACATTTATCAGTGTTCCTCTGAGAAACACCTTCATCCTCCTTAAAACAAGGTTTATTTCTTATGTACAAATTAACTGTTAGGGTCATAAGAGGCACTGGGGCCAGGGTTGAGCTCTTTCCTGGGTACCTCTACCAAGCCTTCTTTACACTGTGTGGGCATTAGGGCCTCCCTTATTCCTCTGATACAATTGTGCTGAAAACCCACCTTTCTTGCTGCCAGGAGGGTTTCTCTGTGACCGCACTGATGTTCACTTCCTTACTTGCATACCCTCATGGGCTGGTTATCCTCACGTACATCCTGCTTTAGCAGCCTTTCAGGAATCTTAAACTTACCAACAGAAATAGAAGGCAGACGCAAACCTTCTGAAACATAAAATCTGGCTTAATCTGGGAATTTTTTACTCTAGGAATCATTAGAGTTTGTCCACACCAGAAACATCTAATAACAATATCTGGGAATTAGCCCATAAACAACAGAAGCAAAGACCATTATTCTTCTAGCATTTAATATTCAATATCCCACAAGTTACTTTACCAGATCTTACCTACTTTACTTATCACTTACTAAGCTCTGAAACCTTAACTTTTTTAACTTGTTCAGAGAAAACAAAGTCATATGTTCCTTTATGCATTTTCCCCTTTATTCCTTCTGTTTATTAATTTTAAGTTGCGAGGTGGCACAAACTGAGCTTACTTCTCTAGGTGGGACATTAGCAGCAGTGATGGTAATAATAATGACGTGCTAATAACTTCACTTCCACGATTTCCTTTAATGCTTATAACAACCTTAAGTGAACACTATGATTACCCCATTTTAGAGATGAGAAAACTGAGACTCAGAGAGATTGAGAAACTGGCCAGAGTTGTTCTAGTATGTAGTAGAACCTAGACTGAGTCCAAGTAGTTGAACACTTCTATATCCTTACGTGAACCACTTAAAAAGGGGAACAATATTCCATAACAAATAGTGGAAAAGAAAGTTTTGACTCAAACTAAATTTCAAAAACTTAAGAATGTTATTTTGAAGAAAAATTTCCACTTACAATTAACAAAATTTAAATTACAACTGCATCTATGTAATTTTTGTTAGTCTAGTCACAAAGTAAAGTAAGGTTTTCTTCTTGTAATTGACACAACCATATACATTTCATGTAAGATTTTTACAGGACCATTAAAAAAATACATGTATCACTTAAAAAAATACTTGAAAAAATTAGCCTGGTGTGGTAGTGTACACCTGTCGACCCAGCTGCTCAGGAGGCAATGGCAGGAGGATCTCTCGAGCCCAGGAGTCCGAGGCTGCAGTGAACTATGATCACCGCTGTACTCCAGCCTGAGCACTGTACAACACAGTGAGGCTGTGTCTCTATTAAAAAAAAAATACTTGACAGTTTCACTAATTTTCTTAAGAATCTTTCACACGTCCTTGATATTTATCCATAAGCCTTTCATTCATCATCGTCTTTTCTTGACTTTCCTAATTCAAATGTTAACTGGTTTACCTGCCAAAATCTCGTTTTGAATGGCTTTTCCTGTGATTCCAGCAATTCTTCAATACTACTTACATTTTATTTTTTTGCAATTCACGGGTGTCTCGCCGAACTACTCTGTTTTATCTGTCAACACCACTGAAAGATTCTTGGCTTTTGGTTCAGGACCATCTTCTGTTGGCTGGCACTGCAGCGTTCACATTTCTCACTGTCCTCTTATGCCAGTAGCCACAGCAATCCCACTAACAGAGCTGCCTCCAACAGGGTCTTTCACTTTGGAAGGGAAGGAGTAAAAAAACTAATTCTCTAGCTTTCAGCATTGAAAATACAGGAACAGGGAAGAAAAGAGAAAGGAAATATGAAATAAATCTTCAAAATCTACTATGCACTGTATTAATCTTTTCCCTGTAAGTTTTCCCCATCACCTTCACAGTGAGCTGAAATGACAGAGCTGCACTTTGCTCCATCAGGTGGGCGTTATTAACCTCTCCATGTGCAGATGCAGAAACTGAGATCTGAGTAAGTGACGTGCCCAAATGCACACAGCTGATGATGAGTGGCCAAATTCTCTGTGTATATATACTGCGTGGCTATATTGCAGGGAACTGTGCTACATGTCATCAGACAGTTATCAGTTTGGTTTCAAACATAAATGTCACAGACATTACAAAACACTGAAAAACAACCCCTTGAATTCAATTTAACAATTCCAGAAATCTCACCTCAGGAGATGGGAGGGATTTCATTTTGTTTGGTGGTAATCAGCACCTGCATTAGACCAAGTATTGCTTCAAAAGTCTTTTATGTTTAAGCAATTACACCTCATCTCTCCACAAAGAATAACATGGGCCAGACAGCTTTGTGATCGCCAAGTGTACATGTCATCTATGAAGTATCATAGTCTACAAATGCAATGGTAAACCAGATGATGTCACTTTGTGCCCCAACCAGAAAGGCTACCCAGAACCTGGTGGGTCCAAGAGTAGCGGCCAACAATCTAACCATTTATGGACAGACAAATGGTATTGTGTAAAACCTATAATGCTCTACTGAACTCCAACAGGAGATTACTTCATCCCCTGATTTCACAATGGGCTGCTAAAATTTTTTGCAATAAATTAAGTCTCTGATGCTCATCTACAAAAGCCACAAAGCACCTTTTATAGCTAGAAATACAAACAAAATATTAAGGTATTTGCTATTGGTTTGCCTGTTTGATACTTCTACAGTGCATGATTTGAATTTGCCAAACTGGCCAATATTCAGTAATTTTTTAAAGATTATTTTATTTAGACATGTTATATGTAGTATTTACACAGAGAGAAAGTGTTTTCTGCCTATTGTGATTAACTGAAAACAAGTCCCAGTTACCTAATTTCTATCATGCATTATATTATTCCCTAAAGCACTAAAACATCTATGAATTCTAATAGTTTTAAAGGAAAATTCTCATATGCAGTGAACCCTTCACACTAATATTAGTATAATCCTATGCATTGAAAGATAATCTTGAATCAGTTCTAACTGTTGTTTTATATCAAAGCCAGATCATGGACTCTACAACTTATTCTCAAATGAAAAATGTGTTATTCTTATAACTAATAACAAAAAGTAAACATGTTCATTGATTTTGGAGGCTTGGGAGGGTCCCAAACCCATCTTGACTTGGCTCGTGAATCAGTGGGTCACTGAGGTGAGGGTTCAGCCTCCAATGATTAGAAGAGTCCTGGGTTTGAGTTGGGTCTGACCTGCAGCAGACCATAATACTTAAGGCCCTGGAGCTATTTGAATCCGAATGTTTTCTTTGGTGTTCACGTAAATGTTTGCTAAAGTTCTATGAAGAATTTACTGTAAAGTGAAAGTGATACCTAAAGAAAAATGAGACCCTACTGTTGTTCTATGAAGAATTTACTGTAAAGTAAAACTGAAGTGTAACGAAAAATGAGATGGCATTCATCTCATCTGTTACAGGTGGCATTCACACAGATTCTGCAAGCACATTTGGAAGGATGACATCCTAGGGCAGAGTTTCTTATCCTCACCACCATGAACCATCTGGACAGGACAGGCGTTTGTTATAGAGCCATCCCGTGCACACCACTATGAACCATCTGGACAGGACAGGCGTTTGTTATAGAGCCATCCCGTGCACTGTAGGATGTTCAGCAGCATCCCTGGCCTCTACCTACCAGACACCAATAGTAGCCCCCTCCTCCGTTGGGACAAGAAAAATATCTCCAGACACTGCCAGACGTCCTCTGGAGGAAAGAGCCACTCTCTCCCCATTCCCCACCCCTAGTTGAGAACCACTATTCTAGAGCATTAATCTTATCTTTACAGCAACAAATAAAGACAATCTTTAAAAAACAAATCAAAAGGAAAATTACCCCAAATTTTACTTAAATTTTGACAAGTAATTTTTACATGAATTATTTTAAAAATTCTGAAGATTAATTTATAAAGATAAATACAGTCAGACATTTTATAAAGCAAAGTACTTGGCAGCTAAAAAAATGCTCAAGACGAAAACTCAAAACCACAAGTTCATGAACCTTAAAAATGCCAGATTCTTTCAGTCAGGTGAATACTGTGTTTAGACTGATGTATATGATTTCTTATGAAGCCCATATTTAAAGGAATGTCCTATCTCATCTAGAAATGGCTCAGTATCTAAACAGTGCTAGTACACCATCCATTTGTGGCAATCTCACACGGTTAATTATGGGTATATTTAAAGTACTTTATAGCTTCCCATTGCCACATGATTTTTAATGTTTTATTTTTTATTTTGTGGTAGGGATGAGGTTTCACTATATTGCTCAGGCTGGTCTACAACTCCTGGCCTCAAGTTATCCTCCTGTCTTAGCCTCCCAAAGTGCTGGAATTACAAGCATGACCACCATGCCCGGCCTGATTTTTAATGTCTTTTATATTAGTTCTTCCTATTACCAACTTCTTGATAACAGGCAAGAGAAGTTATTTATTTCATATCACATTTATATTCTAATATTATAAAACTATGTTTATTGTAATTATTTCTGTCAAACATCTTAAAGGAATATTGCCTTTAAGCAAACTAATGGTCTTTTACAAAGATAAGAGCAGCTGAGACATTCCGTTTCCAACTTGTCCACTTGCTTCACTGCCAAGCTGAGGTGGCCCACTCAGTGTCACAGGGGTTTCTTTGCTCAAGTTCAACTCTAAAATTCGTATATATGTTATTTCCACAAATATGTACAATATTTACATGACTTCTCCTAGGATTATTTCTGGTCTCCGTGTTAGCATTTATTGGCTTCACGACCTTGGACAACTCAATCTCATGCTGCTTCTGTTTCCTCATTGCTGAAAAAAGGGAGATGAAAGAAGCTTTAAATTCCTATTTCACAAATTCTGAGGGTATTTTGGGAGAATACCTACAGGTGGATGTTAACTGGCTGCTCCCTAGAAGCTCTTTCAAGGAAAAAATAGTATCTAATGGCTTAATACACATTTTTAAAATTAAAAAATAGAGAAAAATAGAAGTACACATGAATTTCATTTCCACATACAGATAAAAAATTTGTAAGTTAAACAAGTTAGTCAAAATGTCTCTGAAAGTACCTGTGGAGTATTAAATCACTATGTCAAACGCAACACGAAGAGCTAATGAGCGTGCATTTTTCACAGTAAGGATGATGATGATGATGATAGCCAAACCCCTCTGATTCCTCAGCTGGGAGATGATTAAAAAAAGTTCTTCGTGACTCAGAATGAAATACAAAATAAACCAGCTTTCTGGAAGTATTTACTAGGATCTCATGAAATTCTGAACAGACAGTTTAGCAACGGAAGCGCTCCTGGGGGAAGAAGGTAGTGATGGATCTGTTGCAAGGCCCCATGGTCAGAGACAGAGGAGCAAAGTTACATATGGCAAGTAGAAGAGAGGCTCAGTTAGGCGTTAGGCAAATATGGAAAGGAAGAGAAAAGAAGATCCACAGGGAGAGAGAATGCTTTACCCAGACTGAGTAAATGTCCCATTCTTAAACACTGAGAGAAGAAAGAGTGGGAGGAGAATGGAAGAAATACGCTGTCAACAGGGAACGTGATTTCTTACTCAGGCTAAAGGTATCCAGGGATGAAGCCAATCCCTATGAGTGACTCACGGCTGGTAACCAACGGCCCACGAGGTAGGCTCATGTAACCAAACATCACCTCCTCAGTCAGTCCTGGAAGTAGAGGTTACTACATTGCCCAAACTTTCCTAATGATCGAAAGACTAAAATGAGTCAACATAAGAAAAATATCCTCATCGAAAGACGGAAATCTTCAACTGATCTCCTGCGGAAAGCAAAGGGCTGCTGGGTATGAGAGGCAGGCCTGCCAACAGCCGGCAGCACAGAACAACTTTCTCCGTCACACCCCTGGGTCAGGGCTTTCTCCTCCAGGACGTGGACCCTAGGAAGTCTCACAGAAACCGAGGCTGCTGTTCTTAGTGTAGGAAATCAAAGCGGCTAATTCTACACTCATACTGAAAACTGAAAAATCACATTTAAAAAAAAAGAATGCTGAATATTATGTGTGTTTCACCCTTTATTCACAATAGCTACTGTCATCAAAATTAGGAAATCAGGGATAATCTAATCATTAAATTTTTTAACCTTCCAAAAGTAGAAGGTAGAATGTATTTTTTGTTCCCTCTTAATTATCATGCAAAATGTTTTTTCTTAATTTAGAATACACTCATATTAGTGTTATTTATAGTTTTGTAAAGGTCACCATATTTGTATTTATGGCATGCCAAAGTACTCTGCCAATGTTAAGAATTAAGACATAATTAGCCCCAACTGGTTACATTACATATGTGATGAACAGTAGTTATTCTTCTTATTTACCTCCTAATGTAATAAACAGTCAAAACTAGAAATATTGTTAGCTTTACTAAATAGGCTTGCTTCCCATGTTCCAATTTATAGCATAATCTTTAAGAGTAGATTTTATTACTGGTAAATAACATATTTGAAAAGAAACTAATATACTTATTTATGAACTATTTTTAAATAATTAAAAAAACCTCTCAATATTTTCCCCATAGTTCACAACTTATATAATAATTAATATCTTTATGACAAGTCTGATTGTTTAGTTTTTCAAAGAAATGTAATAAGGCAAGAAAATTTTTGTACATGTCTATTTCCTCATAGATATTAAACAGTTTGAGATAATAAACAAAACCTT
The DNA here is from genome assembly GCF_000001405.40 of Homo sapiens. Taxonomy (NCBI): domain Eukaryota; kingdom Metazoa; phylum Chordata; class Mammalia; order Primates; family Hominidae; genus Homo; species Homo sapiens. Next base: position 1,954,002 of record NC_000006.12, read on the forward strand.
TTTCCCTAGAGAGTCTATTCTCTATTACAGATAATGTGAAGCTGTATTTCCAGTAGAAAGCTATCATTATATCCACATTTGTGGCAAAAAGAATACTGTATGTATGTAAATATAAAAATAAAGATATGTAATGGAACAGCCAGGGAGATACACAATTTCAGGTTTGAAGAAACAATACAAAAGGAAAAAGCAGTTTATTAAGTGTGTAATAATAGTATGTTTTTAAAAGCCCTGTACAACCTTAACTAAAAATTACTTTATCACTGAAAACCGTTAATGACCATCTGTGCCTTTTGCTGGTAGAGGGCTTGCCTCAGTGTCGATGGCTGCTAACTGATCAGGATGGTGGTTGCTAAAGGCTGGAGCGGCTGTGGCCATTTCTTACAATAAGACAACAATGAAGTCTGCTGCAATCACTGACTCTTCCTTTCAGGAAAGATTTCTCTGTAGCATCCAGTGCTGTGTAACAGCATTTACCCGCAGTAGAATTTGTTTCAGAATTGGAGTCAATCTCTCAAACCCTGCTGCTGCTTTAACAACTAAACCTATGTAGTATTATAAACCCTTCTTTTGTTATTTTGACAACATTCACAGCATCTTCACCAGGAATAGATTCCATCTTAAGAAAATACATTCTTTGTTGATCCATAAGAAGCAGCTCCTCATCAGTGAAAACTTTATTATGAGATTGCACACGATAAAAGCAGTCACATCTTCAGATTCTACTTTTAATTCTAGCTCTCTTGCTATTTCCCCCACATCTGCAACTACTTCCTCCACTTGGAGGCCAATGGAGGGCTATTAAGTGGCCTAATTTCAATATTGTTGTGTCTCAGGGAACGGGGCGGCGGTGGCAGGGGGTGGTAATGGCCAGTTGGTGGAGCAGCCAGAACACACACAATATTTACGGATTAAATTCACTGTCTTTTATGGGTGCAGTTCATGGTGCCTGAAAACAATCACAACAGCAAAACCAAAGATCACTGATCACAGATCACCGTAACAGATATAATAATAATCAGAAGTTTGAAATATTAGGAGAATTCTCAAAATGCGACACAGAGACAGGAGGTGAACACCTGAAAAAATAGTACCTACAGATTTGCTTAATGCAGGGTTGCCACACACCTTCAGTATGAAAAGAAGAAAAAAGCAATATCTACGAAGCAATAAAATAACATATGCCTAAACTCGTGTATTTAAGTGTACCCAAACAGAAAAAGTACAGTAAAAATGTGACTTTTTAATTATAATACAGTATGATAATCTTATGGGACCACTGCAGTCCATCATTTACCAAAATTTGTTATGCAGGTTATGATTGCCTACTTTTTTATTTTAAAAAACTGAGTACATATGAAAGAAAGCACCTGGTTAATGTCTGTGAATATCAGTATATAATACATAGTAATAGTTATTCATAAAACATATACTACTATATACATTTTCATGACTTATAGACATTTAATTCTAAAATTCTGTTATTCTTATTAATTTGTAGTAAATATTACTAAAGTGCTCCCATTTCATAAGAAGCAAGTCTATAGCACAAGTGCCATCCACCCTCTTGCTTTCACCAACGGAGTGACTGGAAGGCTGACTGAGGGATGCAAAGTCGCAGATTATTGGCTCTATTCCCTAAATCAGTGATTTCCAACTGTTGATCTGATGCTAGCATAGGTGATTCTTACATCTCTAGATGTATTACACGGTTCTCAAAACAAATATATTTAGAAAGAAAACCTAAATAAATAAATGAAGTCTTCAAAAAAAAAAAAGAAAAAGAAAGAAAACCAAAAATGGTTGGGATGGAGAAAAGACACAGAAGGCAGTCAAAACCGTAATGAGCACGTGTCCAAGCTCAGGAGTTGTGGTTGTTGGACAAACTATGCTACATGTATATCATCAGTTACTAGCTTATTTGGTTTCATACATCACTGACAACTAGCTTTCCTTTAGAGCACTTGGTCATAGTGCTTGATCCTTTGGAGCACTTGGTTACCTGCATACAGCAGTGAAGTACAACAGAACCCCAACCTGCCAAAGCACTTCAGAATTCTGCTTAAGGACTGGCTCACTATGCTCTTTAACATTTATAGGAAATCTTTCTAAAAGACTACCTTGCTACCATAGGAGAAACCCACAATCAACCCAAGTGAAAGTTTTCTCGAATGTTGAGGATCTGTCTACAGCTGGGGCCAGCAAATGTTTTCTTAGAGGCCCAGACAACAAATATTTTAGGCTCTGCACACTACAAGACTCCATAGATGAAAGCAGCCATAGATGATATATAAACAAGTGCATCTGCCTGTGTTACAATAAAACTTTATTTTCAAAACTATGCTGGTAGGCCAGATTTGGCCCATGAGTCCTAGATTGTCAACTTCTGGTTTAGCCTATTGTTAGATTAAAAAATACTTTTCCCCACTTTTGAAAGTCAGAAATTCTCATGAAATGTTATTCATGCAGTGAGAGGGCACCTTTGACAATTACACTTTGTTAGAGAAAAAGTATATGGCCCCCAAAAACTGCATCAACTTGGGCTCTACAAATTCAGCATGGGTGACTGGATACCTAGGACTAGATTGAGGTTTACCAAGGTTTTTCTACACCATGTAGAAAAAAAAGGGTTTGTTCCCTGTAATAACAGGGAACAAGAAGACTGATGAGTAAATGTTCAACCAACTTAAGAAAATAAACTCACTTAAAGTACCACAGGAAATTCTAGGTTTACAAAGATTATTAACAAAAAACAAATTTTATCTGTTTATTAATGTATATCAGATTGAATCTTTACTTCAAAATCATTTATTAGCTTTTTTTTTTTTGAGATGGAGTCTCGCACTGTCGCCTGGGCTGGCACAATCTCGGCTCATTGCAACCTCTGCCTCCTGGGTTCACACCATTCTCCTGCCTCAGCCTCCCGAGTAGCTGGGATTACAGGCACCCACCACCACACTCAGCTAATTTTTTGTATTTTTAGTAGAGACGGGGTTTCACCATGTTGGCCAGGCTGGTCTCAAACTCCTGACCTTAAGTGATTCACCTGCCTCGGCCTCCCAAAGTGCTGGAATTACAGGCATGAGCCATCGCGCCCGGCCCATTTATTAGCTTTAATTACTATATGAGTAAAATCAACAATATGTATATATTTATAAATATCGATATAATTTCTACTTTTCTGTAATTCAGACCACCTAGCTTTCAAGTCAGTAAGCTGTTCCTGAAACATGAGATATTAACTTATTCATTCATTTAAAAATATTTACTGAATGCTTATTAGCAATTAGGCATTGCCTGGAAGCTGGAGATGTATGAATACAACACAGTCCTGCCATTATGGAATTTTCAGTCTGGGAAAGAAATCTCCTTGGAAAACAACATTACTGTCAGATTAATTTAATCTGAAAATTAATGATCAAGTTTTAAGAAATGCTGTAAATAGTAGGCATTACATATCAAAGTATTAATATCATTTTCACGTACATCTCTTTTTCTCATTATTTGATCATATAGTTAAAAATGTGGTACCACTGATTTCCAGGCATATAATAAAACAAAACAAAATGGTGTATGCTACAGTTGAGGTCAAGTTCCTAAAGAGATTTAATAGAAGCCTGACGCTGCAGAACAATATGTAGAGCAGAACCCTCTTTGTATGTTTAAAGAGAGAACTTTTCTGAAGGAATGTTAACAGTGGGTCTGAGGATAGGGCTGGCAGTTATCACGAGGGTGGGAACTTTTACTTTAAAATTTTATTTTAAATGAAGACGTGTTACTTTTAGAACATTTTTTATTACTTTAAAACAATTTTTTTAGAGACAGGGGTCTCACTATGTTGCCCAGGCTAGAGTGCAGTGGCACAATTATAACCCACTGCAGCCTCGAACTCCTGGGCTCAAAGAATCTTCCCAACTCAGCTTCCCGAGTAGCTAGGACTTCAGGCACCCATGACCACACCTGGCTGATTCGTTTTTTATTTTTTTGAGAGACAGGATCTTACTATGTTGCCCAGGCTGGTCCCAAACTCCTGGGCTCAAGTGATCCCCCGAACTTAGCTTCCCAGAGTTCTGGGATTACAGATGTGGGGCACTGTGCCTGGCCTTAAAATATGTTTTTTTTTTTTTTTTTTTAGTTAGTGGTTAACATCTACAAAGACAAAAAATAAGTTCTCATTAGGAGGTACACAAAGAGAGAATTAGGGGGAGTTATATTCAAATTTATCTTTTTTTACTTTGCAACCCAGGAATGTTTTTCCCTATCCTGACCTGATTCACAACAATTAACTTTTATTTTTTTTTTGCAGGTGGAAAAGTTGAGGGAGGAAGAACACAGAAACCCAAACAATGTGTATGAACATGTTTGTGAGAAAGAGGCAGGGATTACCACGACTGAGCAGACTCTGTGGGCGCCCTCATACCACATGCTGCAGGCAACCACAGCTAGGATCTTCCTTTTCCTTTCTCCCTTACCGCTGGCACCCAGGACCACAAAATTCATTAAAGAAATGTTTCTCACTGCTTGTGAATTTGTTTTCCTTTCAGGCAATGTGATGACAGGCTAGGTTCTTATGCTTTAACAGCCCATCATGGGAATTTTTAACTTAAGCAATTATAAAATAAAAATGTACTGACGCTAAAGATTCATTTATAAACCTGTCGCTTTAATCTTTCTTCATGACTTGTTGGTGTAATTAGGCAGCTATATAGTCACATAAAATTTCACGGAAAAATTATATGCTTACTAGTTGTTGGTCATGAAACAACTTATAACATTGGACTTCACGTTTATTCTCAGACTAAAAATCTAAATGATAGCGAAATTTAATAAAACTTCTTGGAAGGCTTACAGATAATTTTTACTTTGTAAAGCATGTGCATGCTTTGTAAAGCTTTCTCATGCTTCAGTAAATCAGAAGTAATGATGGGGGTACACATTTTCTTACTTAAAACTTAATACTGGGAACAAGAGAACTAGCACGTTGCTACAGTCTCATCAACAACTCTGAAAAGGCAACAAGCCAATACAAACAAATACAGTTTTCCAAAAATACCTGATAATACTTCTAAATTAAGAGCTGACTTCAAGGGAGTGGGGAATAAGGGGAGATTTCTTAAAGAATATAAAATTATAGCTAGACAGACACATTAAATTCTAGTGTTCTGTGGAGTGCTCTATAGTTTATCATATTAAGTATTTCTCAATTAGCTAGAAAAGAGGTTTTTAAATGTTCCTAACACAAACATACAATAAATGTCTGAGGTGACAGATATGCTAATTACTCTGATTTGATCACTACACATTGTTTCAAAACATTACTATGTACTCCATAAAAATGTGTCAATTTTTTAAAATCTTGTTAAAAAACTGATTTCAACTTTATTTTAAAATAATTTAGAAGCATAGTAATTTCTGGACGTCTATTTAATGAAATGTAAAGAAAGAATACCAAATATCTAACCATTCAAAGTCAAAAAATAACATAGATCCTACAGATTGAGTCTATTTGAATAGGAGTAATTTCTAAAAACAATCATTAGTTTACTACTTATTCCTTTGCATTCATATAGTAGCTTCCTAATACTCAGGTTGAAAACAAGCTTGATAAGATCTACTAATTAAAATGGTAAAACTGGAACACTGTCCAGTTTTTAATGTTAAAATTTAAAATCCCACAAACTCAAAATAAAATTACAAAAAACTAAGGCTGGGTATACATTTCTTCATTTGCTGCTCTGACATTCATCATAATTAGATACAGATAGGAAATTTTTCAGTCTCTGTAGTACATACACCAAATAGACATGCAACTTGTTGTTGTTGTTCAAGTCTGAAATTCTCTTTTCAGTTAATATATTTACTGACCTCTTCTGGGACTCTCATGATTGAAGAGAATGCCGTTCACTGCAAAGAGATTATACGCCTCACGGAAGTTCACCACAATCCAATAGGCATAGAGTTTTGCTGCCCCTGTTGGAATAATTTTTTTTAAGCAATGAAGTTTGTTGTAAAAGACAGTGATTCTCACCATCTTCAACAGTAACATCTTGGCCGAAATAATAACTTGTAATGCATCCAAATACAAAAAAGTATCAAAACCCAAAGACGAAATAAAGGTTATTACACCTGTCAATCATGTTCACCAGGAAATATTTTAAGAATTTCTTACTTTTGTAATGCCAACAGTGCATTATTTGACAATCGAATTGATTGAATCTTTCTTAGATCTTTTTCTCTCTCATTCTCTCTCTCTAACTTTTGAGGAATTAGAATGGAAAAAAATGAGGATCTTAACATTCCAACTGCTTTGAAATTTTATCACTGAAGTCTTTCATTAATATTCTCCTTACAAACATATTAGACACAATAGTCTTTTTTTTTGAAGGTTTTGAGCTCAAGGAAATTTCATGGAAAATAAAAAAAAACATGAAACCTTATCACTTCAGTATAATCTCATAACAGTTTAGAAAAAGAATCACATTGGGTCTGATTTTCCATTTCAAGTGATCTGTATGGAAGGGCTGAATGAACATGGGTTGGTGAAGTGAGGTGGTAATTTCACCCCGAAGGCAATGGCAGCAAATACTTGTAGTTAGCAACGTATAAAGGTATGCTTCTCAACAAGTTCAGTCACTTTAGTCTACCTTAATGTTAACCTCACACCCAAATGACTTCAGCTGTGAGACATGAACAGAATGAAAGGAAAAACACACACCCCCCACACCCACAGATAACGCCACACATGTGCTCCGGTGTGCACGCATGTTCTCACCATAGGGTGACCGGGGATAGAAAGGGGTGGTCTCCTTCTGGGGTATTTCCTGCACTTTCCCATAAAGTTCACTTGTTGAGGCTTGGTAGAACTTCACAGAGTTGATAAGGCCACAAGTCTTAACTGCATCTAGAAGTCGTAGAGTGCCAACTCCGTCAACGTCCGCAGTGTACTCAGCGAGGTCAAAGGAAATCTGGAAAAAGCAGGCGGAGACAGGGCTGCATTAATAGCTTCATAGCACAAAGGTGCTGTCAGCAGGAACAAAGACTACAATTTCACACACTGTGAAATGTTGGTGAGAAAATATTATTTTCTAACAGCACAATAAGAACGTGGATGTCATCTACATACAGTATCAAATTGCTAAAAATATCTTAATTCCTATTAATTACCTATGGTAATGTGAAGAACACTTTAACCGCCCTTCTACTACTCGTAATTCTAGGCTGGAGTTCCTAGGGCATGGGTTATTATAGGGCAAACCCTATTCCTCAGAATTATCTGGGATCTTCCTTAAAAATTCAGTCTGAACCAATCTCTTTGGGGGGTAGGGACCTAGGAAATTTACATTTTTAATGAGCCCCAGTTGATTTTTATGTACAGAGAAGTTTTGGAACATGTGCTTTAGAACACAGCTGAATTTAAAAAGGGTTGTTTTATTTTCTATTCTAAAGGTACAATAATAAATTTGTAATCTATTACACGAATGCATAATCTTTTTTTAATTTGAGACACAGAGCATACAGCAAGATGCTAATGTATATATGAACCAATTTCTAAGCGAATGCTGAGGAATAATTCGATATTTTGCAGTTCTTTAGAGCACTTTTTAAAAACAAGTGTGACTGATATGCTTTCTGAAATTATTCTATTTATGCATAATGAACAAAATAATCTAATATTAAGTCCCCTAAAATAATAAGGCTCAAAATCTTTGTCACTGGTTTATTCGTAGGCTAATATAGCTGGGCACAGTGCAAACAGGCTTCCCCTGCTGCCTCGTGAATCCTCAACTGGAAAAACCCCTTTGAGGGGTAAGGTCACTGGTCTTCGTCACTGCTGGGTCCTGCATGTGTGCCCTGGAGCAGAAGCTGTCCCCTGGCACATGCAAATGGTATTCAGGCAACTGCTCACCAGGGACCCTATTTAGACCACTAAACTCATGTCATTTAGGCCTGTGAGTAAAGGTCATGTGGCTGCCGGGAAATCAAAAGAAAAAAAGTATGTTTCATCCACAGTCTTTCAAAGGTAAGAAAGCAAATTTGGAAGTCTGTTATTTTTATTCTTTTCTAATAACAGTTCATTAAGATATAATTCACACCCATAAAATTCACCCTTTTAACAGTTTACAGTTCAGTGGTTTCTAGTACATTCACAGCAGTAGATGCCATCATCACCATCTAAGCCCAGAACATTTTCATCACCCCAAAAAGAAACTCCGTACCTAGTACTCAGTACCTCAGAACCTAGTATCAGCAGCCACTCTCTGGTCCCCAACTCTCACTCTGACCCCAACAGCCCTGTCACTATATATTTGCCTACTGTGGATGTTTCATACAAATGGAATCATACAATAGGTGGTTTTTAGTGACTGGCTTCCTTCGCTTACCATGTTTTCACTTTGGTTGAGTATATACCTAGGAATGTAGTTGCTGGGTCATACAGTAACACTATATTTAACATTTTGAAGAACTACCAGACCATTTTCCAAAATGCCTGCGTCATTTCACCTTCTCACCATCAATGAACAAGAGTTCCAATTTCTCCACATCCTACATAGACTTGCTGTGGTCTTTTTTGTTATATCCATCCTAGTGGTGTGAAGTGCTATCTTGTTGTGGTTTTTCTTTTTCCTAATAAATAATGTTCAGCATCTTTTCATATGCTTATCAGCCATTTGTATCTTGTTTTTGTAGAAATGTGTATTTGAATCCGTTAGCCATTTTTAAATTGGGTCATTTGTTGAGCTGTAAAAGTTTATATATATATACATATGCATATACATACATATATATATATTCTGAATACAAGTCCCTTATCAAATATATGACTTGCAATCTTTCCTCCCATTATCAGGGTTGTCTTTTTCTTTTCTTTTTTTTCTTTCTTTTTTTTTTTTTTAAGATGGAGTCTTGCTCTGTCACCCAGGCTGGAGTGCAATGGCGCGATCTGGACTCACTGCAACCTCTGCCTCCCGGGTTCAAGTGATTTTCCTGCCTCAGCCTCCTGAGTAGCTGGGATTACAGGCATGCACCACCACGCCCAGCTAATTTTTGTATTCTTAGTAGAGACGTGGTTTCACCATGTTGACTAGGGTGGTCTCAAACTCCTGATCTCATGATCCACCCACCTCAGCCTCCCAAAGTGCTGGAATTACAGACATGAGCCACCACGCCCAGCCTACTTCCTTTTTTTTTTTTAAAGACAGGGTCTCACTATGTTGCCCAGGCTGGAGTGCAGTGGCTATTCACAGGCATAATCATAGCAAACTATAGCCTCAAAACCTGCTCAAGTGATTCTCCTACCTCAGCCTCTTGCTGAATAGCTGGGAATACAGGCATGTGGTACAGTGCTGGGCTAATGTCTTTTCACTTCTTACAGGTGTCTTATGAAGCACAGAAGTCCCATTTATCTACTTTTTCTTTTGTTGTGTGTGCTTTCAATGTTATATCTAAGAATACTTTACTTAACCCAAGATCAGGAAGATTTACTCCTAATGTTTTATTCCAAGAGTTTTATAGTTTTGTTTCATGTACTTAATTCTATGATCCATTTTGAGTTAAATTTTGTGTATGGTTAGGGGTCCAACTTCATTTTTTGCAGATGGATATCTAGTTGTCCCAGCACCATTTGTTGAAAAGGCCAGTTTTTCCCTGTTGAATGGTTTTTGCACTGGGTCTTTTTGTTATCAGGAAAAGCCATGGCCTTATTTTGAGGAAACAGTGCATTGAGAAGGCCTTGGGAGAGCGGGTGTCAGGGCTCTGGGACCACTGGTAGTGGCCACTGAGCAGATCACTCAACCACTTCCCCTGGCCGTAGTTTCCTCACCACAGCAGGGCCACAACTGTAATTTATTTGACACTTTACAATTCAAAAGTGCTTTTGTTCAAGCTTTGTAACAATCCTAGGAGAAACAGAAACTAGGTACTGAGGTTCAGAAAGATGGAGGTGCTAAAAGCCACACTGCCTAGGAGCAGCAGAACCAGGACTCCAAGTGAGTCCCTGGATGAGGCTCACCACAAAAGCAGGATTCAGCCACTCCCTCCGTGAGGGTCTCATAAAAGCCAGATGCTCTGAGGAGAAACACATACGCACACACAGACACAAACAATTGCCTACGCTTTCCAGAGATTTGTGGATTGCAGATTAAGAAACCTTAAACTAGATCTTTCTGAAGATCTTCTCTGACATCAAGTGTCTGTACTCAAAATATTTTTAGGTATAAGTTCTTATCCCATGGTATTTGCAGTCTTTTTCAAGGGACCAGTCAATTTTGAACAACAATGAGAATGTTGTGAGTTTTTTCTCTTTCCTTGACTAGTTTTTCATTTATAGACATGCCGCCTAAACAGCTCCAAGAAGGAATAGCTAGTATTTGTTAAGTACTCAGTACCAGACACATGCATATCATCCTAGGCATTTTGCGAGTATATATTATTTAATCCTAAGAACAGGTAAGTATTTCCACTGACACAGAGAAGCTACAGCAAGTGGTGGCACTAAATGTTATATTCGTGGTGAACGTTCTATATACATTGAATAGATTATATGTGGATATGTTACATTCACCGTGAACCACACATCCTTGCATAAGCACCTTAACCATTAGAACATAGAATAAGGAAGCTGTACAACATGAAAGTTTTCACTTATGCTAGGGAATCCAATTTAGATCACTAATAGGTCATTATTAATTTTTTTATTATACTTTAAGTTTTGGGGTACATGTGCACAGTGCGCAGGTTACATATGTATACATGTGCCATGTTGGTGTGCTGCACCCAGTAACTCGTCATTTAGCATTAGGTATATCTCCTAAAGCTATCCCTCCCCCTACCCCACAACAGGCCCCGGTGTGTGATGTTCCCCTTCCTGTGTCCATGTGTTCTCATTGTTCAATTGCCACCTATGAATGAGAACATGTGGTGTTTGGTTTTTTGTCCTTGTAATAGTTTGCTGAGAATGATGGTTTCCAGCTTCATCCATGTCCCTACAAAGGACATGAACTCATCATTTTTTATGGCTGCATAGTATTCCATGGTGTATATGTGCCACATTTTCTTAATCCAGTCTATCGTTGTTCCAGGTCTTTGGGTTAGTTCCAGGTCTTTGCTATTGTGAATAGTGCTGCAATAAACATATGTGTGCATGTGTCTTTATAGCAGCATGATTTATAATCCTTTGGGTATATACCCAGTAATGGGATGGCTGGGTCAAATGGTATTTCTAGTTCTAGATCCCTGAGGAATCGCCTAGAGCACATAACTCATGGAAAAGAATTAAGCACTGTTAGACTAAAGATAGTAAATAAGATAGGGGAGCATGGGGGAAAGGATGGTTGTGTGTTTGCAGATTTTTAGGTAACTGCAGAGAAAATTAAGCATATGTGTTTGATATTCAACATGCTACAGGATAAGATTAGCTGATAAAATCTAATTGGTTACAAAGTGTTTTACAATATAAAGTAACAAATTAAGTGGTTTCCTTAAAAAAAGAAAATCTGAACAGTACATTGTGGCTGATCAATTCCTAAAGCTTAGAAGTGTTGGCCAGGCACAGTGGCTCACACCTGTGGTCCCGACACTTTGGGAGGCTGAGGCCAGAGGATCAGTTGAGCCCCAGAGAGCAAGACCAGCCTGGGAAACACAGCAAGGTCCTATGTCTACAAAAAAAATTAAAAGTAAAAAAAATTAGCCGGCTGTGGTGGCACATACCAGTGGTCCCAGCTACTCAAGAGGCTGAAGCAGAAGGATTACTCGAACCCAGGAGGTTGAGGCTCCAGTGAGCCATGATCATGACACTGCACTCCAGCCTGGGCAACAGAGCAAGACTGTCTCAAAATGAAACGTAGGTTAAAAAAAGAAAGAGAGAGAGAGAGATTATTTTTAAGTAAAACTAAAGGTTAGAAGTGTGATTCTGAAACACACGAAAACATGGAAGGTCCAGAGAGCTACAGCCCACAGGCCAAATCCGACCTACCATCTGCTTTTGTAATTAAGTTTTATAGGTCATAGCCCTATAAACATTCATTTGTTTACAGGTCTTCTATGCTTGTTTCCACACTATGACAGCAGGCTTGAATAGCTGCAACAGAGTTATTTCCCATGAAGCAGAAAATATTTACGATCTGGACCTTTACAGAAGAAGCTTCCAAACCCCCAAAACTAAACCATAGTTATAACTGGGAGCCAAAATGAGTAGGGTTTTGGTTGTGGTTGGTTTCTATCATTATCTTTTTCTCTATCTTCTCAATACTATGGGATGATTATGAAGTATGCATCCAATCACAAAGAGAGTTGCATTTTCAGAGGCATGCAGACCAAGTTAACAGTAAAAATCTTATTTCACCTAATAAGGAGAACAAAAAATCAGACTGATGAAAAAAAAAAAAAACCAAGCCTACAAAATACTGCCCAAACTCGCTTTCTTGAAAGATTTTCTTCAGTGGGCTCCCACATCGCATATTCTTCCAATTTTCTTTCCACTCGATTGGCATCAAGTCTCCAGGCTCTTTCTTGTGCCAGTGCCTGCAGGTCTACCAGGTCCCCTGCACCCCGACTCTAGCCCTGGGCTCAGTGCTGAGGGTTTTCTCCCCGACCCACCCTCCAGCTGTGTCATCACTCAGTCCGAGGTCTCAATTCACCATCTGTCCAAATGGGCCCAAAGGCCCACCTCCAGGGCACCTCTTGGAGCAACAGCCTCTCATATGTTCACATGTCACACTGAGATGGCCCCAAACAGGGTTCCTGAAGCTGTCTCCAAAGCTCTTCTTTCCCATGGCCCCTCCCTGTCTGTAAATAGCACCCATTCCAAGCAAAACCTAGAAATCTTCCCTAACACTTCCTTCCCTGCACAGTTCACTGAAATTTAACCAGTTCCCACCACTTAGCCCACACCTTAATTTAGTCTGGCATCACCTTTCATGGGAACCACTGCAGGAACCTCTAACTAGTTCAATTTGAGTCCTCCCCCACCTGGCACCCTGGCACTTGACCTCATAACCTACCACACTTATCCCCCACTACGACGATGCAGCCTCTCCGGCCACCCTGCTGTCCTAGTCTGGCGTCAGCTGGTCCTGCCTGGAGCCTTCACGCTGCTGACCCCTCTGTATGCTGTGCCCCTCACCACTGCCCTGCCTCCCTCGCTAAAAACATCCCGTCCTTGCCATTCTATCCTTATCCACCCGTCTTTATCCTGCTTCATTTCACGTTAACTTTAAACTTTTATCTGTTTACTTATTTATGATCTATCTCCCCAATTAAAAGGTAAGCTCCATGAGAGCTGGGTTTCATCTTGTTCTCCGCAGTGTCTCCCATGCCGGAAGCACGCCTTGGCACAGTATTTGCTGAGTGAATGAAGACAGTGAGTAAACTAATGAGAAATCTAAATGTCAAATATACAAACATCAACACAAAAACACAAAAACCAGTAGGAAAGAAAATGAGCTATGAGAATGATAAAACAAGTTTGATAATTTAATATTACTGAAATAAAAGGTAAAATTTCAAAGGGCAAGACAGATAAAACTCTCTATAAATTCCAAAGCTCTAGCATAACAATAACAATAGTTTTCACAGTTACGCTATATAAAGAGTCAGAACTCAGAGTGCAGAAGAAGAATCTTAGACATACTCGAAGTGCAGGCAGGAGGAGATAGTTAGGAAAATGCGCAAAGACACTGCGATGGGATATCATTCTTAAGGCGCAGTCAGGGCAGCCTCAGGGGCGAGTAGCAAAGCCAGAGAAATGAGAGAAAGATTTAAAGTCATAGGAAGCAGGAAATTTAAGTTCAAACATAAAGTTAATTTATCAACATTCAAAGATACAAACAGATACCCAAAGAATTGTCCACATTTATTTGTGAGTGGTAAATCATAGCCTTTCTTAAAGGAAACAGAAAATTAGAATTAGTCCTTTAAATGGGCTGAAAGGGACCAGATATAGATGCTGAAAGTTCACGTGTCAATTCTGTAGTCTACAAAATGGAATGTAAATCCCATGTGCTTTTAAAGCTGCATCAGGGAAGGCCTGAGTTCACTGTGCTAGACCTCACAGCAAATAAAACAAATGACAACAATCATTCCAGGATCACTGAAGCCCTTTTACCCCTCCAAACTCATTATAACTAAATGTTAATTTTATAACTATGTGAAACTGAACAGAGATGAAAGAGGGCATGCTAACCAAGTAGGATAAGATAAATGCCACTATTCACATATAATATATTGACTAGTCATAATAATGACAAACTATCACTTATATTAGATGATTACAAGAGAAAATACAGTGTGTCTGATTAGTGGAGTGGTTGTCATGTGTTGGTAACTACAGTGCTCACAATTTTACATATTTAAAATGACCACCAAAACTGAATCCTTGAGGTCAGAAATGTCACACATTGTGACTCTTTTTCCAAGAAGCACAGCAAGTAACATTCCAGCTCCTGAAGCCAGGATCTTTGATGATCCTGAGACACTGCTGATCAGGCACTATTCTGGAACTCTCTGCAAGGCCCACTCCCCTCTTGCGGGGTTTACAGTGTTCCAATTCCTCGCCTTGGTCCTGAGTCTCTCATAATGGACTAGCTCTCTTCCTCAAATGGTAGTCTGGGAGGGGTAAATTTCAGGTTCAGGGAGAGAGGCGGCTATAGTCATCAGGAGTCTAGTGTGAGTGGTCTGCCAACACTGACCCACTGCATCTCCCTCATATTTCCTCCCCACATACTGTACTCTTACTTCAAAATATTAATACAATTAAAGAGCACACATTTTTAAAATTCTGAAATCTACTGAACGCAAAAGCTGGGGTAAATGAAAAAGATCACAAACAGCCCCTACCCCACTAGACTGTAAACTCTACAGCAGCAGGGCCCTTGACTCTGTTCACCATTAAATCCCCAAGAATCATACAGAGGTAAAAATATATCTGTAATTTTAAAACAGAAAGCCACGTGAAGAGAAAGTTCATTTATTTATAAGAAATTGGCCTGGTGCGGTGGCTCACACCTGTAATCCCAGCACTTTGGGAGGCCGAGGCGGGCGGATCACGAGGTCAGGAGATCAAGACCATCCTGGCTAACACGGTGAAACCCCATCTCTACTAAAAATACAAAAAAATTAGCTGGGCATGGTGGCAGGTGCCTGTAGTCCCAGCTGCTTGGGAGGCTGAGGCAGGAGAATGGTGTGAACCCGGGAGGCGGCGCTTGCAGTGAGCTGAGATTGTGCCACTGCACTCCAGCCTGGGTGACAGAGTGAGGCTCCATCTCAAAAAAAAAAAAAAAAAAAAAAAAAAAAAGAGAAAGAAAGAAAAAAAGAAATTAGATGAAATATATATTTATATATTTAATTATCCTGTAAATGTTAATAGAACTATTATCTTCTAAAGTGTAAATGAATTAAGGGAAGGTATTTGAATAACAATTTTAGTAAGGAAAAACATTTCAAACACAGCAGAAGAGAAGTCCATAACACATTAATGAGTAAGGCTGAACACATTACAGGCTTTTCAGCTGAAACAAGAAGAAGAATATATGTAGGAATGTGAAGACAGGCAAAATTGCTTGTAACATACGTTGTTTGCCTCTTCAGTCCCGTATGGTTCAGTGGGGCGGCCTCTAAGTTCCAAGTGATTTGTCCTTTCCAGTTTGACTTCCTCCCATCTCAGAGTCTGGGTGTTGCCCTTTCCCTCTACTCAGAACATTTTCCCCAGGGTTCACTCCTCCCTTCCTTCCCCCAAGAGGCCTTCCTGGACCTGGCCATCTCTACCTTCACCTCATCCTCCCCTGGCGTGCTTCACCTCGGAGTTCTCAGTCCATTGGACTCTAAGTACAGAGAAAGCATCTTCACTGGTTTAGTGAGCTTGTAAGCTCCATGAGGTTAAGGGCTCTGTTTGTTTTTTCTCATTGCTCCCACCACTTAAAGAATACCTGCCACATGGAGAGTACTCAGGAATATTACTTGAATAAATAAGACAACATTCAGTCTGAAGTTTAGGCATATAATTCCCCAATGATTTCAGTACACAATTAAGAATGGAACAAACTTTATATATGGAGCAAATTCCATTTAAAAAATCTCAATGAATGAGCCAAAGTTTCCTGACTACAAATGTGGTGTCGGAAAAAGAGATCTGTCTGCAAAAGAACTACATGTGGTAAAAGATAACCAGAGAACAGGAAATCTTTTCCTCTAACATTTGATTTCACAGACACAAGAGGAGGCTCATGATACCAGTGAGCTGGAAATGCCTAAGACCACACAAGCAGCTGCACTGTTTACTGCTTCTCTGTAAGTGAAAGTTATTAATCAAGGACAGCAACAATAAAACCTTACGTTCCATCATGAACCAGTTTTTCCCAGTTAGCAGCTCAGCAGAGCTGACATTGACTTAGCAGCTGGGGCCAGATGCAGATCTTTCCCCCGCCCCCGCCCCGCTCCAGAGCTGGATAGGAGTCAGGCAGGTGCAGACCTAGAAGCACTGCGGCTCAGTGGGCAGGGAAGGAATGGAGAGAAGGCGCTACCCGACCAGGAGCAGGCCGCAGGCTGTGATTCCAGGAAATCCAAAGGCGACAGAGACAGGGCCTTGCCTTGCCCTCCTGTAGCCTGTAGCCTGCCTTATGGGTGTCGAGTAGACAGAGGTTTGAAGAGGCTACAAAAGGGAGGCCACAGGGATTAAGAAAGGCATCCTGAGATGGTTACAAAGTGTGGGGTGGGAGGATAGAGATCCAAAGGAGGGACAGATGACATGGACAGATCAAAGTAGGGTCCGCAGGCACAGGGAGGGGAACAACACACACTGGGACCTGTCAGGGAGGTGGAAGGAGGGAGAGCATCAGGATAAATAGCTAATCCATGCAGGGCTTAATACCTAGGTGATGGGATGATAGGTGCAGCCAACCAGCATGGCACGTGTTTACCTGTGTAACATACCTGCATGTCCTACACACGTATCCCAGACTTAAAGAGAAAAAGTAGGGTCCATGGGGGTGGGCAGGGGTGGGGGATAGGGACTGGGGGAGTGGGGGTTTGGAAAGGTGAGGATGAGACATTCTAAAGGGGGCAGTGATCATCAGCATGAGCAAAAGGAGAGATAAATGCACCGGCAATGTTTGGGGAATAAAGTGCTATATTTATGTAATGTAAGTAGAAGCTATTCTGGAGCAAATTATATATGCCAGTCTATAGTTTGTTCAGTGGGCACTGGGGAGCCAGCAGTGGCTCTGGAGCAGAGGACAGCATCACTTTATCTGGGCCCTTTCACCAGTGCTATACTCCCAGCCTCTTCTATTTGCCTCCAGCCCAGCCCAAGGCCCAGCTCTATAGTTCAGAAACTATTCTTCCTCACACTCATAACCCCAATTTTGTATGATTTTTCCTTATTCTGTTGCAATTATATTTTTCTTCAAAAATGTTTATAATTACAATTTGGAACATCATACAGTCACAGGGTTGTTACTCCAGAGTGACAAATGCTAACCAGACTAAACAAATGTGACATCTTTGTTTGCCTTTGTATGCTCAAGGCATATTAAGGTATAGTTCCACTAGAGTTTTGAAATGCTCAAAGTAGACTAAGGGCTCTCACAGGGAATCAGAACACTGATTACACATGACAAGGTAACAATCCCCAAACGCACCCTGCTCCCAGTGACTCTGATGAGAGGCAAGGCTGCACACACTGCTTCTGTCTGTCCGTCCACTCTCCACACTGTGGGGGCCATGGCTTTCCATCTCTCACCCCTACTGCTTAGCACACAGGAGGGCTGGAAAATATTTGTTGAAATAATGGTATTGATTTTTGTCATGTGTTTACATTTTAGCCACAGAGGCGAATTGGAGCTCTCACAAGTCAGAGTAGAAAGCATATGCAGGGCTCTGTTCTCACAGCACCCTCCAGCTCTTGCTTTTTTTCTAAGGACTCAGCCACTGCTCTGGAAGACTGACCGTGCTTTAACAACCTCACCAAGTCTGCCAGCTCTTCTGACTTACTCCAAAACGAAGAACAGCTGCCCCAGCAACATTCCTTGAGTTTGAGAATCTTCATTTCTAAAATGTTGAGTTCTGCACCCCGCACCCTGACTTCAGTTATAACTCCGTGGTCACAATTCTTTGCCACTTCCACAACCTCTGAGAACCTCTGGTGCCATTCCTGAAAGCCTTTCATTCTTTTTCAATTAAAAAATATATAATTTTAAAATAAATTCTAATTTGTTCTAATTAGTTAAAATTATTTAAAACAAATATTAAACTAAGTCTCCTGGGTTTTTGTTTTTTTTTTTTTTTTAGAAAATCTTAATTTAAAAATACTTTGTGACCCCAATTATCAGAAATTAGCCATATTAGATGCCTTTTCTCTGTCATTTTACAGTTTATCAGCTGCTGATAAATACAGAAAAATCTGTCATGATTTCTGTATAAGAAAATGGCACCAGAAGTAACTATCCGGGTCTTTTCTAGAGAAAAACTCACTGAGATTCTTTACAGATAAACAGAAATAACAAATCAACTTACTTAATGGAATTTATTATAGCAGGAATACTTAACCAAGGATTCACAGGGTCCATGGATAAAACTCAGGAGAGCACACAGATTTGGATTAAAAAATTTTAAAATGCATGTCTTTATTTTCACTAAATTCTATCTGAAATTTAGAGTTCCCTTCTATTTTGAATGTAAGCCACAATCCTCAGTAGTAATAGTACTTGTGACCTTTCCATCAATAGGGACAACAGCCATTTCAACACGACTATACAGTCGCCGCAGATGCCTGGAGGCATCACTTCTGCCCATCACTGCTTAAGTTCCAATGTTTACCAGGCCCACTGCCAGGTCTTGTGCTATAATCACAAACCTGGTTTTTAAGTATATTAACAGATTAAGAGTCAGTTTCCTTGGCAATTCTACACATTTGGTTTTATACCTCTAAAAACATTATTCTGAGAATATCCATACACTTCACCAGATTGCTGAAGGAGTCCATGGCGTAAGAAAGGTTAAAACGTCCCCTGTAAATCAAGTGGTAGTGACAAAATTTCAGTATTTTAGAATGTGCTTAAAGAAAAAAAGTCACTAAATCTCTCTTACCACCTATATCCAGCCAGATAAATAAGCTCTCATCAGCCATTTTGAAATCTGCACGTGTGTGACCTAAAAGCATCATTGCTACATAACCAATTGCTCAATGGTTTGGGTCATTCAATAGGTTCCTGACCTCAATGACAAAGCTCCAAAAGTACATAAATACACTAAGGCATTAACATGACACTAGAGATGTACACACAATCAAAAATTAAACAATTACATTAGCTTTTGAATGCATTTTGTAATGTTTATAACTTTAATCTGAGTTATTTTGATCATATATCTACCAAGATGAGTTAACATCCCCAAGCTCTGTTGGCAGAGAGTGATAGCACAGGAGTGAATAAAGGGACTGATTATATGAGGGGTATTTAGCCAATGGCCTGTACCCCTGGGGATTAAAAATCAGGGGATTAAAAATATTTGTTGGAAGATAATCAAGAGATAAATAGAAGATTTAATGTTTGCTGCCAGTTACCACCCAGATTATAGTAATTTGGGGACAAATAATGAAAAGTCACTTCAGCTGCATATAAAGAGACTGAAACACAGTAAACAACATACAGTCTTCATTATTATAATATTATTATAAAGTTTTACTTTCCTTTTATGAATACTATAATTACATTTAAAATGGTCACTACTATAACATTAAAGTAGGAAGAGAGCAATAACCTTGGCATCTAAATAGCTAATAATTCTTTAGTTAATAGATAAAATGACAGAACAACAACAAAAAAAAGAGAACTTACTGAAATGCTTCAATGACTGAGACGCCACAACATGGCCTGTGGTTACAACAATGTAAGTCTCAACTATCCATATGGGAGAGTTCATTTAAGACAAGAAGTAGAGCTAAGGCTTCTAGGCAGGACAAATAACTCAGTGTTGGGAGCCTTCAATCCCACTGGCAAGTGGTATATCCAAGTCTTTGTAAGTCACAAAACAAGAGAGGCCAAAGCAACATCATATTATGTGGATAATAAGCTGTTTTCCCTCCTTCCTCACCTCGATTTCTCTTGACCTCTCTCCTCCAAAAATAGCAGATAGTAAATTAATTTTAGAAGGAATATTAAAAAAAAAAAACCTAAGCTGTGAGAGAAATGTAAAAGAGCCTTTTTAAAATAAGTAAGCCCTCATGAGATACCTACATGTTTCACTAGAAACATTTTATTGAAAGACTTGGAAAGGAGGGCCAGAAGCTCAAAACCAACAAGAACTGTGTGATACACTGGCAAGCAAAAGGAAAATGGGAAAAGGTGCCTTTAACAAAATGGAGTAAAATTAAAATAATGCTCAAGAAAGAACAGAGTGGGGTTCAAGCACAGAAATGCAAAATAAATAAGAACAGCAACCAGATACAGAGAGAAGGCTGCTAGAGAAGTAGGCACAGGAGGGATGCAGAGGTCCGGGAAAGGAACAGCCACACGTTTTCTCTCTATTTGCTGTGGAAGACACAAGGCAGGTTCCAAGTCTCAAACTGATGTTTGAGACAGGCAGGTAGGAACACTGGTAAATATCAAGGAGCCTCTTGATCTAACAGACAAACTAAAATGTCGACAAATTGCTAAGAATGACTGGCATTCAAGAAGTCAGGAGTGATACTGTAGAACTACATGCACTATGATGAAAATGCCAACAGATTACTAATGCCCATAAAAAGGTAACCAATGGGCTGGGCACGGTGGCTCATGCCTGCAATCCCAGCACTTTGGGAGGCCGAGGCGGGCAGATCACCTGAGGTCAGGAGTTCAAGACCAGCCTGGCCAACATGGTGAAATCCCGTCTCTATTAAAAAAAAAAGAAAAAAAAATTAGCCAGGCACGATGGTGGGCGCCTGTAATCCTAGCTACTTGGGAGGCTGAGGCAGGAGAATTGCTTGAACCCAGGAGGCAGAGGTTGCAGTGAGCTGAGATTATGCCACTGCACTCCAGCCTGGGCAACAGAGTGAGACTCTGTCTCAAAAAAAAAACAAAACAAAACAGGGTAACCAATGGTCACACTGCAGATGAACTCAAACTGCCAGGATATTGTTAGATATCATTTTCATAGTGAAAAATCTAGCAACGTCTATGGCAGCACACCACATAAAGGAATAAAGATAATCCCATGGCAGAAAGTAAAGTGGCTTTGTGAGAATCAATACCGCCTCACGATTTTTACAAAATTCTTTAAGGGATAAATAAGCATATGGGCAAGGAAGAATGAGGGGGAAACCCATGGACATAATTCACCTAGACTGTCATAGGCCTTGACAAATACTGTAACAAAGTGCATTTCAGAAAGCAGTAACACTGACTCTGGGACTGGGAGAATGTTCCAGCTCCCAGTCACCAACAGCAGACTCTGCTGCATCTCCAGCACCTCCCACCCCACTATAATCAGGAAACTTCGGACAGAAAACTAAAAGTAGGAGTAAAACATACAAGCTGAAAAAGCAAAATATACAAAGTAGATCCTGTCAATGGCCAGTTTAGAGATTATTCTTACTTAATGTTTTAAAAACAATCTAGGAAAGGGAATACACTATGAAAATCTCCTAAGGCTCTAATGTTTTTCCAGAAAAGTAGAAAGTCACATTAGGAATAGGAAACTGCAAGATCTCTTGGGGCTACCTAAAGGACTTGAAAAATGGGAAGAACATTCAAATTGGACCATTTGAAGACAATGCATTTCAAACAGGAGGGGAACAAAGAAAACTGTACCCATAGTCTCAGAGTACTGAATATCCTCAGTTTCCTAAAGACACCAGGCTTTGGTTTGACACTAACAAGCCAAGAAAATGTAGTCTCAACAAAGAATAAGCAGAGTAGAAAGCAGAGTCCCTCTGCAGAAGCCTGAGGTTCCTGCACCCCTAGGAGGCTGTGAAGTCCTGGTAACCACACTTTGAGATGGTCACCTGGAACTCGAAAAATATCTACACAACTCAAGAAAAATGTTCCAGGAAATACAGTGGCTAGTATATGAAGAATGTCACCAAAAAAATTAGACTTCTTTGGCTTGTGAACTCTAGGTCAGGAAGTAGTACAATGATTTAGGCTTTGTAAAATAATAAAGAATATGGATAGAGATCATAGATCAGCCCATTATGAGTCCAGAAGACCTGAATGAGGGTATACTCTTTGTTTAAGTCTGATTAAATTAATAGAAAAGAAGGTTGTCTTCAACTGACCAATATTTGAAGAACAATGTGCTTATTCTGCTCCATTTGGAGGAGGCCAATCTCTTGAGAAGCAAATCATACATACATAAAACCATGAATTTTAGAGGCAAATTTAATAACAGGAACTACCTCTGTCTTGTTCACCAGTATGTGCCTAACCCAGTGCCTGGCACATAACGGGAACACAGCAATGTTTCTTGAGGGAATGAATGAATAGGAGCAGGGTGTTCCAATATCATCCAATATGGCAAAGATCCTCAGAGAAGACAGTATTTCCAAAAGGCTTCTTCCTCTGTAGATGCCTTTTTCTAAATTCCATGTTTAAGCTTCTAATGGAGAATAATTTCAATAATAACAATGATGTAACAAACCTGATATAAGCATATGATTAGGAAATTCAGCAACAGATACTATAAGAGGAAAAAATTAATGATAATAGTATACTGGTATTAATACTTCTGGTATTAATGTTTAGTAGTATTAAACATTACTTTAAAACTAGCATCTTTCTAATAGAAACAAAAGGTATTCACCACATAGTTTCCAAAATGGAAAAACATGAATGCTGTGTTTTCAACTTTTTCATATTTAAATTGCTGTGCAATACAGTATTTAGATTTTATGGGAAAACACACCCTACACTGAACAGGAGATATATCTTATTTTCTTTTGAATATTGCTCATGATTATTCTACTACAACGCAGGTCAATGTCTGTTTCCTTGGGATCTGCGGGCTGATGAGAAACAAGCAAAGCACCTGAAGACAAGAGGCTGGAAGAGAATGATGCCTGTACCTATGGTACTGTAGGAAAGCAGAGGAATTGAGAAATAGAAATTAGTTCAAAGTAAAGGGGAAAAAAATCACTATCCAAGTTGGAGTTCAGCAAAAGAATCACAAAGCAGAGGAAGAAAAATACTAATTTGCTATGAAAAGTAATTCCATTGGGTAAGTGAAAAGATGCTTGTGTATGTATGAATGATGAATGAGAAACAAGAAGAAATTGACATAGAAAGTTACTTATGACAATTAACTAAAAATCCATATTTTGCCAATAACCAACAGGCAAATAAATGAGCCTCTCTAAGCCTCAGCTTCTTTCTCCTAAATACCATACCCTGACTCTTCTATGGAATTCAGGATGCCACACAAGTATCTAGCAAACATAAATTTGAAGTTCAGAAGAAGCAAGGAAAACCAACATTCAATGTTCAATTCAAAATAGCCAGTGAGGGAGAGGCACCAATTAGAAGCAGCTGCAGTCCATGGCACTCATGGAGAGGAGTGAAAGGGGTGAGTGAATACAGCACCCTTAGCTGAAATACCTAGGTTATCGCATTGGAACGGACTAGGAAAACAACTCAACCCATGGAGAATGAAGAAAAGCAGGGTGGGGCAATGGCCCACCTAGGGGCATCATGGAGGCAAGGGAACCCCCACCCCCAGCCAAGGGAAGTGATGAGTGATTGTGTGACACTGGGAAAGCATGCTTCTCCCACAGATCTTTGCAACCCACGGATCAGGAGATCCCCTCGTGAGCCCATGCTACCAGGGCCTTGAGTCTGACACACAGAGCTGTGTGGAGTCTTGGCAGAACAGCTGCTCAGGCACAGACACAGACCCAGAAGCTTTACATACTCCAGCCCCAGGATATCCAGCAAATATGTCTACAGCTCAGGCAAGGCAAGAGGTCTGCACATACCCTAGGAAAGGGGCTGAATCCAGGGAACCAGGCAGCATCATTCTGCGGGCCCCACTTCCACTGCACTTCACAAGATAAGACCTACTGTCTTGGAATTCCAGCTGGCCACCAGCAACAGAGTGGAGACTGCCTGAGACCAGACGGAGCCCACGGAGAGAGGGGCAGGCTGCCACCTGGATTGCTGGATAACTCAGCTGTTCCAACCTGCGGGCTTTGGAGAGTCCAAAGGGTCCCAACGAGGAAGGGTCCCCCCAGCAGTGAACCAAAGCAGCTTTGTCAGTTAAAGGCCAGACTGCTACTTTAGGCAGGACATCAATCCATTCCTCCTCACTGGACGGGACCTACCTGGTGGGCCCACCAGCCATGCCCAAGCGCATGTATTAGGGACAGAGCTCTGATGTCTCCCTGGGATGGAGTGCCTGGAAGAGGAAAGGGCCACCACCTGGGTTGGTTGGATAACTCAGCCATTCCAGCCTGCCAGCTTTGGAGAGTCCTAGCCGACTGAGGCAAAGGGGGTTCCCCACCATGAAGGCTGTTTTGTAGAGGTGTGGCCAGACTGCTTCTTTAAGCAGGACTCCGTTATACTCCTCCTTGTGGGGCGGGTCCTCCCAGCTGGGGCCTCCAGCCACCCCCTCCCACCCCATGTTCTTTGGGGCCTAAAGAGCTCTAATTTCACCCTGGGGCAGAGCGCCTGAGTGGTGGGGCAGGTCATCACCTTGCCTGTTTGGGCTGCCTGTGGGCCATGGAGAGCCCAAACCAATCAGGGGCTGAAGGGATCCCCAACACAGCATAGCTGCTCTACCAAAAAGCAGCCAGATTGTTTTTTTAAGTGGGTCTCTGATCTTGTTCCTCCTGAGTGGGTGTGACTTCCAACCAGGGTCTCCAGCCACCTCCTCCAGGTGCGTTCAGGCCAGCAATAGGTCAGTACCCTTGTGGGATGAAGCTTCCAGAGGAAGGGGCAAGCTGCCATCTTTGCTATATCACAGCCTTCACTGGTGATAGGTACTGGAAAAACTGAGGCAACTAGGGTCTGGAGTGGCCAGACTATTAAAAACAAACAAACATACAAACACAAAACAACAAAAACAAAACCACAAGAACTCCATCCAAAGGTCAGCAACTCATTTGTAAATAAGCCCACAAAGATGAGAAAAAAAATCAACACAAAAACTCTGAAAACTCAATAATCTGGAGTGCCCCTTTTCCTCCAAATGACTGCAGTAACTCCAGCAAGGGCTCAGAACTGGGTTGAGGATGAGATGGCTGAAATAACAGAAGGAGACTTCAGAATGTGGGTAATAATGAACTTTGCTGAGCTAAGGGAGCATGTTGTAACCCAAAGCGAAGAAGCTAAAACAATACATATGGGAGCTGACAGCCAAAATAGCCAGTCTAGAGGAACAGAACCAACCTGATAGAGCTAAGCTAAAAAACATGCTACAAGAACTTTACAATGCAATCACAAATATTAACAGCAGAATAGACCAAGTGGAGAAAAGAATCTTAGAGCTTGAAGACTGTCTTTCTGAAATAAGACAGGCAAAAAAGAATAGAGAAAAAAGAATGAAAAGAAATAAACAAAACCTCTGAGAAATATGGGATTATGTAAAGAGAATGAATCTACAACTGACTGGGATACTTGAACAATATGGGGAGAATGGAACCAAGTTGGAAAATATACTTCAGGTTATCATCTAGGAGAACTTCCTCAGCCTAGCAAGATAGGCCAACATTCAAATTCAGGAAATGCAGAGAATCCCTGTGAAATACTTCATAAGAAGATGATCCCCAAGACACATAATCATCAGATTCTCCAAGGTCGAAATAAAAGAAAAAATGTTGAGGGCAGCCAGAGAGAAAGGCCAGATCACCTACAAAGGGAAGCACGTCAGACTAACAGCAGACCTCTCAGTGGAAACCCTACCAGCTGGAAGAGATTGGTGGCCAATATTCAACATTCTTAAAGAAAAGAATTTCCTATCTAGAATTTCATATCTGTCCAAACTAAGCTTCATAAGTGAAGGAGATTTAAGATCCTTTTCAGACAAACAAATGCTGAGAAAATTGGTCACCACCAGACCTGTCTTGCAAGAGCTCCTGAAGGAAGCACTAAATATGAAAAGGAAAACCTGTTACCAGTCACTACAAAGACATACTGAAGTACACAGACCAGTGACACTATGAAGTAACCACATAAACAAGTCTGCACAATAACCAGCTAGTATCATGACAGGATTTAATCCACACATAACAATACTAACCTTAAATGTAAATGGGCTAAATGCTCCAATTAAAAGACACAGAATGGCAAGCTGGATAAAAAAACAAGACCCATTGGTATGCTGTGTTCAAGAGACTCATCTCACATGCAAGGACACACATAGGCTCAAAATAAAGAAATGAAAGAAAAGTTACCAAGCAAATGGAAAACAGAAAAAAGCAGGGGTTGCAATCCTAGTTTCTGACAAAACAGACTTTAAACCAACAAAGATTAAAAAAAAAAAAGACAAAGAAGGGCATACATAATGGTAAAGGGCTCAATTCAACAAGAAGAGCTAACTGTCTTACATATACAAACACTCAATAAAAAAGCACTGCCAAGTTCATAAAGCAAGTTCTTAGAGACCTTCAAAAAAAGACTTAGACTCCCAACAATAATAGTGGGAGACTTTAACACTCCACTGATAATATTAGACAGATCATCAAAACAGAAAATTAACCAAGATATTTTGGACCTGAACTCAGCTCTGGATCAAGAGGATCTGATAGATATTTACAGAACTGTCCACCCAGAAACATTCTTCTCATAGCCACGTGAGACTTACTCTAAAATTAATCACATAATCAGAGGAAAAACACTCCTCAGGAAATGTAAAAGAACTGAAATCATAACAGTTTCTCAGACTACAGCCCAATCAAATTAGAACTCAAGACTAATAAACTCACTCAAAACTACACAACTATTAATACATGGAAATTGAACACCTGCTCCTTAATGACTCTTGGATAAATAATGAAATGAAGACAGAAATCAAGAAGTTCTTTGAAACTAATCAGAACAAAGAGACAACATACCACAATCTCTGGGACACGGCTAAAGCTGTGTTAAAAGAAAAATTCATAGCACTAAATGCCCACATCAAAAAGCTAGAAAGATCTCAAATTAACAACCTAACATCAGAATTAATAGAACTAGAGAACCAAGAGCAAACAAACCCCAAAGCTAGCAGAAGACAAGAAATAACCAAGATCAGAGCTGAACTAAAGAAGACAGAGACATGAAAAAACCTGCAAAAAAAAAAAATTCAGGCTGGTTTTTGGAAAAAAATTAATAAAATAGACTGCTAGCTAGACTAATCAAGAAGAAAAGAGAGAAGATTCAAATAAACACAATCAGAAATGATAAGGGGGATATCACCACTGTTCCCACAGAAATACAAGCAACCATCAAAGAATACTACAAACACCTATAAGCACATAAACTAGAAAATCTACAAGAAATGGATAAATTCCTGGACACATACACTCTCCCAAGACTGAACCAGGAAGCAACTGAATCCCTGAATAGACCAATAATGAGTCTGAAATTGAGGAGGTCAAACCAAAGAAAGCCCAGGACCAGATAGATTCACAGTTGAATTCTACCAGAGGTACAAAGAGGAGCTGGTACCATTTTTACTGAAACTATTCCAAAAAATTGAGGATGAGGGACTCCTTCCTAACTCATTCTATGAAACCAGCATCATGCTGACACCAAAACCTAGCAGAGGTACAACAAAAAAAAGAAAAACTTCAGGCCAATATCCTTGATGAACATCAGTGCAAAAATCCTCAACCAAATACTGGCAAACCGAATCTGGCAGCACATCAGAAAGTTTATCCACTACAATCAAGTTGGCTTCATGCCCAGGATGCAAGGTTGGTTTAACATACACAAATCAATAAATGTGATTCATCACATAAACAGAACTAAAGACACAAAACACATGATTATCTCAATAGATGAGAAAAGGCCTTCCATAAAATTCAACATCCCCTCATGTAAAAACTCTCAGTAAACTAGGTATTAACAGAAAATACTTTGGCCAGGTGCGGTGGCTCACACCTGTAATCCAGGCACTTTGGGAGGCTGAGGCGGGTGGATCACCTGAGGTCAGGAGTCCCAAGACCAGCCTGGCTGACATGGTGAAACCCCATCTCTACTAAAAATACAAAAATTAGCCAGGCGTGGTGGTAGGTGTCTGTAATCCTAGCTACTTGGTAGGCTGAGGCAGGAGAATCACTTGAATCTGGGAGGCAGAGGTTGCAGTGAATATGATAAACTCACAGCCATTATCATACTGAATGAGCAAAAGCTGGAAGCATTCCCCTTGAAAACCAGCACAAGACAAGGATGCCCTCTCTCACCACTCCTATTCAACATATATTGGAAGTTCTGGCCAGGACAATCAGGCAAGGGAAAGAAATATAAGGTATTCAAACAGGAAGAGATGAAATCAAACTATCTTTGTTTGCAGATGACATGATCCTGTATCTAGAAAACCCCATTGTCTCAGCCCAAAAACTTCTGAAGTTGATAAGCAACTTTGGCCAAGTCTCAGGATCACTGTGCAAAAACTACTAGCATTCCTGTACACCAACCACACGCAGGCTGAGAGCAAAATCATGAATGAACTCCCATTCACAATTGCCACAAAAAAAATAAAATACCCAGGAATACAGCTAACAAGGGAAGTAAAGGACCCCTTCAAGGAGAACTACAAACCACTGCTCAAAGAAATCAGAGATGACAAAAACAAATGGAAAAACATCAAATGCTCATGGATAGGAAGAATCAATATCATGAAAATGGCCACATTGCCCAAAGCAATTTATATATTCAATGCTATTCCCATTAAACTACCATTGACATTCTTAATGGAATTAGAAAAAGACTACTTTAAAATTCATATGGAACCAAAAAAAGATTCCAAACAGCCAAGACAATGTTAAGCAAAAAGAACAAAACTGGAGGCATCATGCTACCTGAATTCAAACTACACTACAAGGCTACAGTAATCAAAACAGCATGGTACTGGTATAAGAACAGACACATAGACCAATGAAACAGAATAGAGAACCCAAAAATGAGACCGCACACCCACAACCAACTGATCTTTGACAAACCTGACAAAAACAAGCAATGGGGAAAGGATTCCTTAGTTAATAAATGGTGATGAGAGAACTTGCTAGCCGTATGCAGAAAACTGAAACTGGATTCCTTCCTTACACCATATACAAACATCAACTCAACACGGACTAAAGACTTAAATGTAAAACCCAAAACTAAAAAATCCCTAGAAGAAAATCTAGGCAATACCATTCAGGACATAGGCACAGGTAAAGATTTCATGACCAAGGCACCAAAAGCAATTGCAACAAAAGCAAAAGTTGAGAAATTGTATCTAATTAAACAGAAGAGCTTCTGTACAGCAAAAGAAACGATCAACAGAGTAAACAGACAACCTACAGAATGGAAAAAAATTTTTCCAATCTATCCATCTGACAAAGGTCTAACATCCATCATCCATTAGGAACTTAAATCTACAAGAAAAAAATAAACCATTAAAAAGTGGGCAAAGAACATGAACAGACATTTCTCTAAAGAAGACACACATGTGGCCAACAAGCATTTGAAAAAAAAGCTCAACATCACTGATCATTAGAAAAATGCAAATCAAAACCACAATGAGATACCATCTCATGCCAGTCCAAAAGGCTATTTAAAATGTCAAAAAACAACAGATGCTGGCAAGGTTGTGGAGAAAAAGAAATGGTTTTACACTGTTGGTTGGAGTGTAAATTAGTTCAACCATTGTGGAAGACAGTGTGGTAATTCCTCAAAGACCCAGAGGCAGAAATACCATTTTATCCAGCAATCCCATTACTGGGTATACATTCAAAAGAATATAAATCATTCTATTATGAAGATACATGCATGCGTATGTTCAGTGCAGCACTATTCATATTAGTAAAGGCATGGAATCAACCTAAATGCTCATCAATGATAGACTGAATTAAAAAATGTGGTACATATACACCATGGGATACTATGCAGCCATGAAAAGGAATGAGATAATGTCCTTTGTGGGACATGGATGGAGCTGGAAGCCATTATCTTCAGCAAACTAACAGAACAGAACAGAAAACCAAATACTGTGTGTTCTCACTTATAAGTGGGAGGTGAATGATGAGAACATATGGACACACTGCAGGGACTAACACACACTGGGGCCTGTCAGAGGGTGGAGAATGAGAGGAGGGAGAGCATCGGGAAGAATAGCTAATGAATTCTGGGCTTAATACCTAGATGATGAGATGATCTCTGCAGACAACCACCATGGCATATGTTTACATATGTAACAAACCTGCACATCCTGCACATGTACCTCTGAACTTAAAATAAAAGTTAGAAATCCCCGCCCCCGCCTCCAAAAACAAGAGAAATAGCCAGTGAGTAATCTAATGAGAGGTATAATTAAGAAACAGGGCTGGCCCTGAGGGTGAAAACAAGACATCTGGGCATCACTGAATATCCAGGCCAGTACACTACAGCTGCTCCTAGTGACCCTAATGTCCTTTATAAATCTACCCCCTTAACACCTTGGATCTCTCATGACTCATTGGCCTATAGGCAAAATTCTTCAAACAGGTTTCCTGGTCTCTATCTGGCATTTCTACAATCCATCCTCCATGCTACCAAAATTATCTTTCTAAATTGTAAAACCTACTCAGGTCACACCCTTCTAAAGTATAATGGCTCCCAGAGCTTTCGGGTGAAGTTCAACAGCTTAGCTTAAATAATTCCAGTAGGCCACAATTCCCACTGCTGCCACTCTCTGTACAGCAATGATGAAATTTTAAATTAGAAAATTAAAAAGGCATGACTGGGTAGGAATGGCCCAAAACAACACAAAGCTACTGAAAAACAAAGCAGAAAGTAAGGCTGAAGCTGCAAGTCTGTTGGGAGTTCAAGGCAAAGGTGGGATTTCAGCCCCCATGAGTAACAGGGTAACAGCTAAAAGCACCTAGTGAAGAGGGAATTCAGTCAGGCTTGTTGCTTAAAATCCAATGCAGAGGCAGAATTTTCCAGCCCATGAAAAAAAGATCAAAGAAGTTGTTTCTTTTTTATTTAACATAAAGTTAAGTGTCTAAAAAAAGAGGCACATGGCAACAGACAAAGCTTTACACAAGGGTCTGCTCCAGATGCCTGCTGGCTTTTCCACTGAACAGAGCTGTTAGATTTCCAATATCAGAGCTGGATGAAGCTCTATGCCACCAATATAGAACTAGTTCTGGACCAGAGCATCCTAGAGGCTGAATGGTGGCAGCCACACAACCATTAACCATACGGGATAAGAATACAAGAGGGGTAGGGGTCCTATTCAATACAGGCTTGCAAACCGATTTTTTTTTAAAAAGAACATTAATGTCAAGAAAGAACCAATAAGAACTATTTAATGTAACTGAAGAGAACATTTACTACAGAGAACATGAAAATAAGATAGCATTCTGAAAATGACTTTGAAACATCTCTCTTTAACAATGACTTTTAAATATATCTTAAACCAAGAAAAAAAATCAGCTAAAAACAAGAAAGCATTTTTATAAGCAGGCTAAAATGAAACAACAGATTTGAAAAGGAATCAAAATTCTGGAAATAAAACATTCAAACAACAAAACTAAAAATATAGAAAGGTGCAAGCCTTTGGAAAATACACCTAGAAAACTCATAGCAAGAACAGACACCACAAGAAGACACACAGGCAGAAAACATCCCAGTTCAGTGAAAAGAGGGAGCAAGAGAAGGGTGATTGGTGACCACACAAGGAAGAGGCGGGCTACTAAAACCGAGATCTTCAAGAACTGAAAGGTGGCAGAAGTTTACTGGTCTTAAAATCTAGCTTAGAGGAAAATGGGCAAGTCAGAATTTGCCCCTGGCACTAGTGGTATTTGGGAAATGGTTCATTTCCATAATACAAGAACCACTTTATTTTTCCACAGCTTCAAGATGCACAAACCTTAGCTTGGTACACTGGCATATTTATGACCCTTTGAAAAATGGATGACCTAGAAAACTAGTGAGGGACCATAATTTTAAGTTTCAACATTTCTTTTACTCAAAATAACATTGCTTTCCTTGAAGATTTATTTTAATAAGACAAGGTCTTGAATCACAGGTAATCTGTAAACGTGTTCTTAAAAACAAATGAGAAAAGGAGCTTCCCAGGGGAGTTTTCTAAAGTCAGGTGAGATGTTACCTGCTTTCCCTACCTCAAATTACTCTTGCTTCTTTCCAGGTTAACTATCCAGGGAAGTACCAGTGCCGTCTGGACAAGTATAATACGAAAACAGTGTGCTTCCCTCAATGCTGGAGGCTGATACGTGGTACAACGGCAGGGAAAAAACTGATAAGGCTTCTAAACTTACCATCAACAAAGACCCAGAACTTGCATCTGTGAATTCCCTATGAAACCTAGTCTTTCACTACCTTAAAGAGGGCAGAAAATATATTAAGAATTAAATACCTAAGAAAGTTGTCTTAAGTTTCTAAGAATGTGGTGCTACATTATCACAAAGCTGTATTAATAGCTAATCTTCAGACTTCTCTGTGAAGGCAGACTTTACATAATCAAACACTACAGTATGAAAATGAAAGGAGGGCTGTAGGAGTGATCTCAGGAGACCCTGAGAATCATGATGACTCCAAACCTCTGTCACAAAGCTTTAAGCATGCCATTAGTTTTGCTTATCTCTCCACTCATTGCTATTAATTTAATGGTCTGGGGAGCTGTCAGGGATATTTGGTAAGAGCAATTTCTCTTCCAGGATAATCTCCAGCCCATTATTCAAAATTTTTTTAGCTTTAAGCTACACAGAATGAGAGTAAGGGGGCTGGGTAGGGAAGGGAGGTAAGAAGGATGGTAAATAAGCTAAGAAGCAAGAGACAACATTTTTTCAAAGGAGATATTGTAAACACTATTCTCTTTATTTCACACTGCAAAAGCACAATAAACCAGTAGTTGAGCCAGAAGAGGTTTTGTTGTTTGAGGCAACGTTGTACCCTCTGTGATGAGTGACATGGTAGTGCTCTGTGAGTTTGCTTACACAAGCCAGAGCCAGCTGTGCTAGAAGCTTCCCTACTACACAGAAGTTAGGGGCAGAAAAGGGACTTGAGAAACCACCAGAGAACATTAGTATGAAGATGTAAAAAGATAGCCCATTCATATTTTCCTTATTTGTGTCAAGGGAAAAAAGACTGAGTCTAAATGTGGGAAAGGAATTTTTAAAACCTTTTTTCAACTTTTTTTTTCTTCCTTTCTATTTATATACATACATTTAAAACACACTCGAAGTTTAAAATCTACTGAAAATTGCTGTGTCTCTCAATTGGTATGGAATTTTCTCTCATTTTACTCTTTTCAGTTTTTGCTTAAGACACATTGAGTATTTGCAAAACTATCACTTGACAGTCGTATTTTTGTTCATTCAACAAATATTTATAGCGCAACACCTAAGGCCCTGGAACTGTTCTAGGCACCAGGACACAATCGTGAAGGGAACAAGCAAAAATCCCTGCCTTTTAGAGCTTACATTCTAGTGAGAGGAGAAGAAAACTGACAATATAAAGAGGTGAAATATATAGTAAGTTCAATAGTGATAAGAACTATGGGGGAAAAAAGCTGGAAAGGGAGAGGACGTTGGGTTGTACTTTTAAATATGGTAAAGCTTTTCTAAGCAAAAGAATGAAACATAAAAATGGAAATGTAGTAGGCACTGAAGAAGCAGTTGTAGTCTACTTCATAGTAATTTAAGTTTGAAATTTGCCATGTGCCAGGCACTAGGCCAAGTGCTTTACATGCACTCTGCCATTTAAGTATTATGACAAGTCTGTGAGTCAGGGACTACTATTATATTTATTTTACCTCTCGAAAAAAAACTAAAGCTCAGAGCAATTAAGGAGCTTGCTTATGGTCACAGTTAGTAAGCAACAGAACTGGGATTAACACCAAGGAAAAAATAATAACATAAGGAAAACAACCAAACCACCAACAACACATACACATACATGCATATGCACAGCCCCCATATGCATTCTTTACTATTTTCTATAACATATACTATTTTCTTTAACTACAAGCTAGATACAGAATTGGTAGCCTAATTTTCTGTGCAATTTAACACCAAGATGATGCTTCACTTTTTCTAAAAACAAGGTGGTTGTGATTTAGAATCAGGTTGCCTCTAAGAGTATATTTTCATGATGGTTTTTCATAATTCAGAGTATATTTTCTCTTAGATACAATATAGTAAATAGTGGCTTAACTTCATATAAGCCTACGTGATTCAGGCTGAAGCTAAATAAATATACAAGTTAAAAAAAAAAAAGAATGTGATAATATATCCTCCCTGCAACTGTACCCCTTCTCCAGCCCAATCCCACCCTCATCTCCTCCCTTTGGGATGAAAGAGCTCCTTCTTGGCGGTGGGGGCGAGGGGGGCTCCAAACCCAGGGTGCTCCAGAGTGTGCTCCAATTTGGGCTCCCTATCCAGCTCACCCCAACTGCACGTTCTTCCCGGTAGAATAACCCTCCATGTGAATTTTGGAACATGCATGCCATCTGTAATAATGCCATGTCCTGTGTATTTAACAAGAAAGAATTATTTTGAACTGTAGAAACAGGCAATCAGGGCCTGATAGGCTTAAGTATTGTCAATGTTTAAAAACAATATTTAAAAACAGTGTTTTTAAAAAATAACAAAAGAAAATAAATCAATATTTTAAAATGAGAAGTGGATTTTGAAATATTTTGAATGTTTGTTAGCTAGCTTTGAGAGATGAATAGGATATAGATAAATGGTTTGGAAAAAAACACAGGTGAGAACCAAAAAAAAAAAGCTTAAGAAAACCCCAGGTTGATCTGGGCAAGCTGCACTTGTCAAGAGTTATGCCGGGAGCAGTGAGCAGTAAGAGCAGAAAGGCTGGCCCTCTTGGATTACAGAGGACTTCCAAGAGTCAGCAAGGACTCAGAGCTGCAGGGGGCATGAGCCCATGCTCATTTTTTCTTACAGTAATGATCCTGACAATGGGAACGGAGAACGTTGACACAAGTTTATTCCACATGACAGAACTGGCATAGTGGAAGGTCATGGGGGTATGGGAATTTAGGAAAGTCCTACAAGTTACAATCTGGTGGTTAATGCAATACTTTCCAAGACATTTAAGGCCAAGAAAAGAAGTAGATAGGGCTAAGTACTTTAGAATCCGAGAGCTAAGAAATGGGCATACTCTTGGTGTGAGGAAGAGAAGCAGAGAGTTGGTAAAAAGGCTGTTAATGGAAGAGAAGGTTACATGTGCAAATTCCTACATCAGAACAGCTAGGCTGGTATGTGGTCAAGGTCAGGGAAAAAAGAGAGAGAGATAAAGAGTTTGCTCTGAGGGGAGAGGGTAACCCTGAGATCCCCAAAGAAGAAAGGCTAAGAAAGGCTTTGTGTTCACATGTTCATATTTTCACCCAGCGTGACACTTCACATTTAAATTCAAGAGGCAGAAAATTCACTCTGCAGATTTGTAAGGAAAAATCCAAAAGACTTTGTTTAATCTTTGAAACGCAAAAAAGCTCTGAGTACCTAGAACACTGTGGGCACTAGATGACTAACTCCTCCTAGGGTCCCCTGCCACAACAAACCAAGACTGGTACACTCCCTTCCAAACACTCCTCTCTGATGCTACCCCTCGGCCTGACCCTCATCTGGAGATTCACAATCACACTCCTGGCTAGCTGCTCTCTGTGACCCCTGTCCAGCCTGGCCCTGCCTTCCCTGGTCTGGAGCACATCCAATGTGAGGGGCTGAAGATACGCCCTTGGGGCCAGGCCCAGCTCTACTTTTTAGCAGGAGTGCAATTTTGGACATGGTACTGAACCTTTTAGTACTTTGGTTTCTTCATATGTAGAAGATGGATACAAATATTATTCACCCTACAAGGCAACTGTGAAGATTTTCCACGTAGGTGCTTAAGAAATGTTAGCCATAGGCTGGGCGCAATGGCTCACGCCTGTAATCCCAGCACTTTGGGAGGCCAAGGCGGGTGGATCATGAGGTCAGGAGATCGAGACCATCTTGGCTAATACAGTGAAACCCCGTCTCTACTAAAAATATAAAAAATTAGCCAGGCATGGTGGCACGTGCCTGTAGTCCCAGCTACCCAGGAGACTGAGGCAGGAGAATCGCTTGAACCCGGGAGGCGGAGTTTGCAGTGAGCCGAGATGGCACCACTGCACTCCAGCCTGGGAGACAGAGCGAGACTGTCTCAAAAGAAAAAGAAAGAAAGAAAGAAATGTTAGCCAGCGCCACCACCACCACCATCCCATCCTAACAAGTCCCTGTCCCTTTGGCCTTCCACTGTGACCTCTTAAAGCCACATTCTGGTGTAAAGGAAATTCTCCATTGACTTCACCTTCTGCTCAGATGTTGTCTCCACTTTCTTTCAGTAATCTGGCTGGTTCTCTGTTGATCAGTCAATTAACCTGTATTCTTACTAATACATAGTGGAACATACCCCCTGACAAATGTCAACCCCTTATCAATTGTTTCTGTTTTATTCTTTTTTTGTTGAGACAGGGTCTCTTGTCACCTAGGCTCCAGTGCAGTGACACAACCTCGGCTCATTCTAATCTCCGCCTCCCAGGCTAAAGCAATCCTCCCACCTTAGCCTCCAGAGTAGCTGGGACTACAGGCGCAGATCAGCACACCCAGCTAATTTTTTTTTTTTTTGGGGGGGTAGAGGCAGGGTTTCACCATGTTGCTGCCCAAGTTGGTCTCGAACTCCTGGGTTCAAGTGATCCTTCCATCTTGGCCTCCCAAAGTGCTGAGATTACAGGCATAAGCCTCCGTGCCCGGCCAACTGTTTGTTTTTCCTTCTACTCTAACTCTCTGGCTGCCAAAAAATGGGTGTTAAGTGGGCATTATCAACTTGTGGATGTTAATATTAGTAAGGATGTTGTAATATTAGTCAGTATAGTGTTCAGTCATGTCACATATTTTTAATTAGCTCCCTTTTGGGTTCTCTACCCCTCCTCTCAATGTTCCTACCCCTTCCTATTCCTCTTATTCTCCAGCAGACTATCCCCTTACCTCACCCAGAAAACAGACAAGTCACTGGAGTGTAAGTTTTCTCAAATGCTGTACTTGGATAACTCCACCAGTCTTCCCTTCTTTCTGCCTCTTAGTGGGAGAGATGTCCCTATTCCTTTCCAGGACCAATCTTCTCCCAGGCCCCGACTCCCAGGCTCTTCCACAGCTCCGGCATTTTCAACTTCTTCTTCTGGTCTCATATAAGTGCTCAAGGGCCCCCCTAAAAAGCTCCATCTCCTTTCCCGCACCTGGCCTACTCCCCACATCGTCACCCACCCCACTTCACTTCATTGTCAAACACCTTAGAAAGAACAGCCTGCTTGGCTGCTTCCCTTCTTTACCACCAGTAACCGCTGGTCTCCTGTGACCAGGCTCTTAGGAGGGTGGCCAATGATAGGCTTGACTGCCAAGTCCAATACCCTTTCTAGGACTATGTGCTCCTGACTTTCCTGAGTGTTGACTTCTCTCTCTCCCCAGGACTTTGATCACTTCATTTTGCCCAAATTCTCCTCTGATCCCTATGGTTGTTCTTTCTCTGTTTTCTTTACTGGCTTTTCTGGATCCAGGGCTTCGTTCATGTTGCCTAGTGTGGGATTGAACAGTGTCCCCCCAGAAAAGACATGTGTAAGTCCTAATCCCTGGCAACTCAGAATGTGATCTCATTTGTAATTAGAGTACCTGCCGATGTAATTTGATAAGATGAAGTCATACAGGGGTAGGGTTGGCACACAGTCCACCGTGACTGGTGTCCTTGTGAGGAGAGAAGACACAGACACAAAGACACAGGGAGATGTCGTGTGATGATGAGGACAGATCGGAGTTACGCAGCTCCACGGCAAGGAAGGCCAAATCGCTGCAAATCCCTAGATGCGAGGAAGAGGCATGGAAGGAGTCCCCCACCTGCTTCAAAGGGAGCACAGCCCTGCTGACACCTTAGTTTTGGACATTAGCCTCCAGAATGGTGAGACAATAAATGCCTTTTGTTTAAGCCACACAGTGTGTGGGCCTTTGTTAGGGCAGCTGTACCTGAGCATATATTCTGAGTTTCTGAGTATTCCCCAAGGGGTATTTCTAGCCCAGTACCCCCGCTGAGCTCCAGACTCACACTACACAACGAATTGGCCCTTAACTGGGCACTCTGCGAGCCTCTCCATCTCACCCTGTCTAAAATCTCCTCACTAACCTGGTGATCTCTCTGGCCTTCGCTGTTCATGGCCACCACCTCACCTGAAGCAAGGCTGGTGATCATCCACTCCTCCCTCCCCTTCTTCAGGCTAACCTCAGGTCTTCTCTGCTCCACTGCCATTTTCCCAGGCCAATCCTCTTGCCTATTCACCCACATCAGCGTCCAGGCTGTTCCTCAACACACCAGGCATGTTCCCGACCTAGGGGCTTTGCAGCACCTGTTCCTACTGCCTAAAATGTTTCCCCTAGAAATCTGCATGGCTACCACCCCCAACTTTACTCAGCTTTTCACTCAAATGTTGCCTTCCACATGAGGTCTCTGTGACCCATGCCCACACTGCCTCCGCCCTAGCACTCCCAATCCTTGGCCTACAGGATTCATCATCTTCTAAAAGAATATATAACTTGCTGGCCTGTTGGCTTATTTACTCAGTATTACTGTCTTCAGTCATGAATGTACTCCCCACCAGGGCTTACCTTGTTCCCCAACAGGTCCCAAACACTGAGGGCCAGTGCCTGGCAAAGAGAAGCTGCTCTTTACTTTCCTGCTGAGTGTGTTGATCTACAGGAGATGAACAGGCTTCCTCTGGTATTCCAATGACCAGCTCTGTCCCAACCAACACATCCCCTGCACTTCCCACAAAAAGCACAGTGACATTTCAATAGGACTATATTTGAAATAGTTTATGAATGAAAAGAAAGAACTATTAAAGGGAAAATGATGCAGCACCACAGATGTGAGTAGATCGTCCAGCTGCTTTTCCTACAGAATAAATACTAGATTCTCTCGGGAACGCTCACAGTGCTCTGTCACCTGGATGCAGTCCCATCTCCTCTCCCTTGCCCCAGCCTTGCCCAGCCCACACTGCACTGTATATCCAGTCCACCAAACTTCTCTTCCTTCTCGGAGGGTATGGGTATTCTCGCTTCTATGCTGGCTCGTGGTTTTGTTAGTTTCATTGCTGCCTTAGTCATGTGGGGGAATTCCTGACCAATTCATCCTTCTTTTTAATCCCTCAATCCTGAATTAGGTAACTTTTCCTCTATCACTTTCAACATTACATTATCAGCTGCAATAGAAGACCCTACACTTCTGACTTGTGGACTCCTGAGAGCAAGGTCTGTGATTATTCCACATGTGTATGGACAACACCTCTGCAGAGGGCCTGGCAGCTGCTAGATGCTCAATAAACCTCTGCCGAAGGCAGCTGCTAAAAGAAAAAAGAAAATCTTACTACGGAAAGTAAAAGATGATCCTCAGGCAAGAAACAAAAAAGTGCGACGGAAGCTCTGTTTCTATCTCTTCAGGGCCGTGCTTCATTATTATTTCCTCATTCTCCAATTCCTCACAAAGCTCTATTTTATAAATGTTTGCAGAGCTTTAAGTTAATCCTAACATTTACTCTCCAGCCCTCAATCTTTAATGACTCCTTCTCTAAAAAAAAAAAAGGCAGAAAAAGTAAAGATTTATATAAGTTCAAAAGAAACTTAAAAATCCAGACAAAGACTTATCATCAGCCACGTATGGAATGTGAGTGGATTCTTGCCTAAAAAGCTAGCTCTAGCTGCAAATTTCCTATATTCTCCCAGTGCCACGGGACGGTGATGAGAGGTCTCCCACTCCATGGGGCTCTGCCCACCTCTGCTCACCCACTCCACACCTCCCACCACACTTTTCTAGTGCTTGAAGGAAGTGAAGACAGTAGCCTTTAACATGTTCCATTACAGCAACTGCTTTGGTGTAGTGACTTACAAGGAAGCCTGCAAAGGAGGCATTTAAGAACTGGTTTTATAAGTTCATAGAATAGTTAAGAATCTGAATAATTTTCTTATTCCTTGTATTTGTACTTAGATGTGGCTCCCAAGATAAAGTCACATTGTCTCCTTTATTTTCTTGTTCTTTTTATGCTAAAAAACATTTAGAATATTTTATCAACAAAACACACAGACACAAACCCCTTTCCAATTCTCTCAACCAAAACAAATATACAATCATGATAGAAAGTTAGTATGTGAAAGTAGAAGGCTACACTCTTAGGTGATATTAACATCACTCCTGAAACTAATTCTTAGTATTTCAGTTTTCCCATGAGGGAAATGATATGCTATATTCCATAATTTGCAAGCTTTTAATTTTCACAAAGCATCAAGAAGGCAGGCCATAAATAACCCTTCAGCAAACATTTATGAACCATTTACTCAGGCCAGGCACTGTGCTGAGTTTGGGAACAGAAAGATAAATGAGGCGCAAACTTTGTCATTGAGGAACCCATGATATATCTGGGTCTCATAGATGCAAAGCAATAATAACATTAAAATCTGTTTACTGCACAATCAGAAGTATGGGCATATGGTACGCAGAGAAAAAGGACTTTAGCAAGTATGTGTATATATGCTCTGGGAGCCTGGGGCCTCCAGAAGGAGGTGGCATTAAGCTGAGTTTCACTGGATAGGTTGGGAGGAAGGGCACACAGGGGATACATGGCCTGCAAAGACACAACATAGTCCCACTTTTAAGAAGAAAAACTGATAACTCACATTTATTTCTCCTACTTAAAAAAGTCATATGGAAATCACTAAAGCAATATAAAATTAAGAAAAATATCAATAGCAGCTCTAGGAAACAGAAAAGGGAACACCCAACAAAGGAAAAACTAAAGAACTTTTTTGAACACTATAAAGCATGTATGATTGGATCACACAAAAATAATCCATGCTTAGTTAGCATCAACACAACACAGAGGCAGTAACCTTATACGAAGGCACCTTACAAACCCCTAAAAACCTGCAAGCCGTAAGCAGCAACCTGGCTGTACACCACAGCCAGGGAGAAATGGGGC
Source organism: Homo sapiens (assembly GCF_000001405.40). Taxonomy (NCBI): domain Eukaryota; kingdom Metazoa; phylum Chordata; class Mammalia; order Primates; family Hominidae; genus Homo; species Homo sapiens. Next base: position 1,995,141 of record NC_000006.12, read on the forward strand.
AGCAGAAACTGAGGGGCCACCATGGCAATGCCTGGAGAACACGGCTCACCATGTAATTGGGAGGGTAGGTGTTGTGCCACAGATCGTTTACAGTGGGGTACAAGGGAGGACCACAGTGACAGAGAGGGAATGGGAAGACCAGTCTTGCACCACACCTCCAGGTCTACTCCTCTGCTAGCTACAGCTCTGACTGGACACAGGCTGCCTGTGACCCCAGCCCTAACCAGTGCACGGGCTCTACCAAAAAGAGTAAGGAAGAAGGAGAAGATGGGAAGCAAACCAACACACTTAGGGATTCTATCAAAAACTCCAATAGAGAGTGGCTGTCCACAGTATTCCATCCCTGTGTTGTCTCAGAGAGAACATCAACAACAACAAAATCAACTCCATCCGCACTAACATTTCCATGGGTACCTGCGTTAGGTTTACTAGAGATCCTGCACTTAGGGAGATAAACACATGAAGCATTTAATCTTCCACCACTGCCCCCAGCTGCACTGTCAAATACTCTTTCTCCTAAGAAGAACCTTCAACCACATGCAGGCAGATCCAAGACATTCCTGGTTACTTTCTGACATCACCACTCTAATGCAAGCCAGTCCTATGGCTCAGGGCACGTGGCTTGGGAAGGGCCAGGCTCTCCACTGACTGGGAAGAGAAGCTGAACCTGGTTCTGGGAACACCTCCCTCTTTCTGGTCCTGCTTAACTGCCTGAGGTTACATTTCCTTCTTTTTGGTGATCTCTACTTCTTTGTTTAACAATGCCCAGCTGGGTCGCTAGGTGGCAAATAGACACATGCTAACTCAAGCATGCTTTGCTGAAGTTGGATCTGCAAAAGCCTGGGGGTGGAGGGGAAGGCTATACCACTGCACAGTTCCCTGAGGGAGGGAGAAACATGGCTTTGGGATAGCCTCTTCTTTTCTTTTCTTTCTTTCCTTCTTTTCTTCTTCTCCTTCTTCCTTCTCCTTCTCCTTCCTCCTCCTTCCTCCTTCCTCTTCTTCCTCCTTCCTCTTCCTTCCTCCTTCCTCTTTCTCATTCTTCTATAACTATGGTACCAAGGGACAGCCTCTTCTCACACACTCCCTGCCCCCAACAACTGCTTCAAGCACAGCCAACAACACCACAGCTTACAGTGTCCAGCTGCTGGGGTTTCCTCACTGGGAGTGCATCTTCTGGGTAGTGTACCTTTTTAAGAGACAGGGGGTGGCTATTCCACTGCTGTCCTTTCTCTCTGCCCTGCCATTTCTCTTCCCATTCTCTTCTTCCCTGCTTTAGTAGACTACCTCTATTAGAACTAAGCTCATGTAACAGTGATAGAAAAGCTAGAGAAGTTTAAATAAGATGAAGGTTTATTTCTCTTTCACTTACATAAGTCTGCTGGTAGACAGGAAGGGCTAGCGTAGTATCCTAACAATTACTAGGGACGTTATTTTTTTCTATATATTTCTCCACTCTCTGCATCATATGGCTTCCAACTCTTGGTACAAAATGGTTGGCAGAATTCCTGCCATCACATGCACCTTCCCATCAAGAGGATTATTTCCCTTCTACTTTATGGATTCTTCTAGGAAGCTGCACACATCATTTCTACCTAAAAGTGATTTCTTAGAAGGGGGTCACATGACCACACCTAGGTATAAGGGGAGCTAAAAAATGTAGTTCTTCATGTCTGAGGACATGTACTCAGACAAAAATTGAGAATTCCACTACTCAGAAGAGAAAAACAGAAATTGACAGACAACCAACAGTGTTTTCCATACTACCTAAACAGATTTCCAACTAAGGAGTAAGACCCTAGTCTTTTTTTTTGTTTTTAAAGCACCATCGAATTTTCCAAGTAAGTCTTCTGATGCCCACCTCACTTAGCTTGGTGAGAGGAGGGAACGGCCATGGTATTTCCTAGTGGGCTGATGATTCTCAGCCCCCTCCTTCTACTCAATGTGCTCTGACAGCCAGGCAGAGGAAGGGATGGGGTAAAGAGGGAAGGTGCTGGCAGATAGCAAAGTTGGTTCTGATAACTGCTTCTTAAGACCTGAGGAAGGAATAGGTCTCAGTTATTGATGGTTTTCTTGAGAAAGTGAAGACTGGCTGGGCACGGTGGCTCATGCCTGTAATCACAGCACTTTGGGAGGCCAAGGTGGGCAAATCACGAGGTCAGGAGACGGAAACCATCCTGGCCAACATGGTGAAACACCATCTCTACTAAAAATACAAAAATTAGCCAGGCGTGGTGGCACACGCCTGTAGTCCCAGCTACTCAGGAGGCTGAGGCAGGAGATTTGTTTGAACCTGGGAGGCGGAGGCTGTAGTGAGCTGAGATCGCGCCACTGCACTCCAGCCTGGGAGACAGAGTGAGACTCTGTCTCAAAAAAAAAAAAAAAAAAAAGATGTGAGGACTTCACATCACATCTCTAAGACCTCTGCTTTGGACAGAAATCATCAGTGTGCAGAAAACTCCTCCTCAACCCCTGTGGTGGCTTCCTAAAGGGATCATGATTCTTGTCTGTTCCCAGGAAATACACCTGGAAGGGAAGGCCAACTTTTGGCCTGTGGACCCTAGTGAGGTTCATCTCCACTGGCCAATTTGGTGAGCAGAGACCCCTGGGAGACAGCAAACAGAGACTTCCACAAGTGCATCGAGGGGCACCTGCCAACTACCCACATTGATCAGTTTATACCTCTCTATAAAAACAAGCAGGCTATGAAGGGTCAATGAACACTGGAAGAAGACCAAAAATGGGATAGGAGCCAAGCTGAGTAGGCAGGGGAAACGGCCTTTCCTCTGTATCTTCTGGGAAATGCAAAGATACTGCCTCTCAGAGGCAGTACAAGAAGCCTATGAAGAAGGAAGAGCAAATGAGTACCAAGAAAGAGCTCCAGGAAATGAAAAACCAGTTACTTAGGGAAGCTACTCACTGGAGACCTTAGGCAAACAAATAAACATCGGGGAAGATCAAATCTTGATTTAGAAAATGATCTGAAAGTGACCTTCCAGAATGTAAAGGAAAAATAATGAAAGAACAAATGAGAAACATAAATGTCATATCCAGGAGTTATCATAGCTGTGAAAACAATTGAATGAAAGAGAAAGAATCATCAACCTAACGAAAAACTTCCAAGAGGATAAACAGCCCATGAAATACCAGATAAGAATATTGACAGATCATCTACGCACAAACTCCTGGTAGAGTTTCTAAATAAAATAATAAAAAGAAAGTCACTATGAGCTCCCTAGTAAGAAATAAGGAAAGGAAGGAAAAGGAGGGAAGAAAAGAAGAGGAAGAAAGGGACAGGGAAGGCAATTCTAAATGCTAAAAAGTATAGAGCAATAATTACACAAATCTGAGGAAAAGGATTATAACCCCAGAATGGAAACAAAATATTAACAGTCAGCCCTTCGTATCCATAGGTTCAGCAGCTGCAGATTCAATCAACCACAATTCAAAATATTCAGAAAAAAATTTTAATAACATACAAGAATAAAAAGTATTACTTTTTAAAACTACAGTGTACCAATTATTTACATAGCATTTATAATGTATTAGGTATTATAAGTTATCTAAGACGATTTGAAAAATACAGCAGGATGTATATATGCTGTTTGCAAATATCACATCATTTTACATAAGCAACTTGGGCATCCATGGATTTTGGTATCCAAGAAGGCTCCTGGAAGCAATCCCCCATGGATGCCAAGGGACAGCTGTATTAAGCATAAAAATAAAGGAAAACTGTTTTTTTTAAAACAAAAAGACTCAGAAATTATACAACCAATGCAAGATATTACTTGGGAAATACTTCAGCCAAAAAAGTACAAATAGATAAGACATGCAACAAGCAATAAGTAATAAAGATAATAATTCTAATTATCCCAAACCATTTTAAATAATGCAGATAATAGGCCAGGTGCGGTGGCTCACGCCTGTAATCCCAGCACTTTGGGAGGCCAAGGCGGCCATATCATGAGGTCAGGAAATCGAGACCAGCCTGGCCAACATGGTGAAACCCCGTCTCTACTAAAAATACAAAAATTAGCAGGGCGTGGTGGTGCATGCCTGTAATTCCAGCTACTTGGGAGGCTGAGGCAGGAGAATCGCTTGAACCAGGGAGTTGGAGGCTGCAGTGAGCCGAGACTGCACCACTGTACTACAGCCTGGTGACAGAGCGAGACTCTGTCTCAAAAAAAAAAAAAAAAAAAACTGCAGATAATGAATTAACTGCAATTGTTCAGAAAGATATTAAAAGATGTAAAAACAAGCTGATCTAGTATTTAAAATATAAGTTATTTCTACAAAACCTAGAATTTCAGGTAGAAGATGGCAGACTAGCTTAAAAGTTTGCACAAGATTTCCTTTGATCCTTGGCAAGGATACAGTGGCATGAAGATTTTGCTACAGTCTTGGAATTTACAAGTTCAAATATTCTAATGAGGAACAACCAACAAAATATAGTTGGACTCAACTGGAGGTAGAATATAGTTTTAAAAAAATTAGATCCATTAGAGACATCAGAAACATAAAAAAAAATAAAATGAGAACATAAATTTTAAAAACAAACAAAAATGAATGACAGGAATTAGGACAAGGGTAATATGCTGTGAAAGATAAGGAAATCTCCTCTCCCAATTTTGCTAGATGATATTACTCCCCTTTCTTAAAAACATAGTTAACACTGACATTCTTATCTGTTGCCATAGTTCACACAGCTGTTTGGTCTTACTTTTCAAAAATACCAGTTTTATTGAGACATAACGATATATATAATATATATATTATATACATATTATATATTATTATATATAATATATAATATGTATATTATATATATATTATATATATATTTTATATATATATATTATATATATATATTTTTTATATATATATATATCTATATCTTTTTTTTTTTTTTTTTGAGATGGAGTCTCATTCTGTCGCCCAGGCTGGAGTGCAGTGGCATGATCTCAGCTCACTGCAAGCTCCACTTCCCAGGTTCACGCCATTCTCCTGCCTCAGCCTCCCCAAGTAGCTGGGACTACAGGCGCCCGCCACCATGCCCGGCTAATTTTTTGTATTTTTGGTAGAGATGGGGTTTCACCGTGTTAGCCAGGATGGTCTCCATCTCCTGACCTTGTGATCCACCCGCCTTGGCCTCCCAAAATGCTGGGATTACAGGCGTGAGCCACCACTCCCGGACAGTATTTACTATATTAACTGGTTTCTACAACTATCACCATAGTCCATTTCAGAGCATTTTAATCATTCCAAAAGAAACTATGTATTCATTAGCAGTCACCTCCCCAACCCCTGTCCCTTCAACCCTCCCCAATCCCTAAAACCCACTCAACTATTTTATGTCTCTATTACCTATTTTGGACATTTCATGTAAATGTGGTCTTTTGTAAGCTACCTCTTTCGATTAGCATAATATTTTTAAGGTTCATCTATATTGGAGCATGTATCACTACTTTATTACCTTAAAAAGAAACTGTCAATCTCACTTGTGTATGAAGTCTCTTTTTTTGTTTTAGTGGTTCTTTGAGAGACAGGGTCTCGCTCTTTTGCTCAGGTTGAAGTGCAGTGGCACAATCATAGCTTACTGCAGCCTGGAACTCATGGGCTCAAGTGGTTCTCCCACCTTAGCCTCCCAAGTAACTGGAACTATAGGCATACACCACCATGCCCAGCCTTCATTCCTTTCTAAGAAATACTATTCCTTTGTATACCCAATGTATAATACATTTGTTTATCCATTAACCAGCCGATGGACATTCGGATTGTTTCTATATTTTAGCTGCTATGAGTAGCACTGCTATAAACATTCTTGTTTAAGTTTTTGTGTGGACCTATGCTTTCATTTCTCTTGGGTAGAGTAGAATTGCTAGATCATCAAGTGGTAGTTCTACGGTTAACAATGTGAAGAACTACAGACTGTTTGCAGAAGTGGCTACACTAATTTACATTTTCATCAGTAGTGTACGAGATTTCCAATTCTCTAATTTCTTCACCAACACCTGTTATGATCTGACTTTTGATTCCACTCATCATAATAGATATGGACTGGTATTTCATTATGGTTTTGATTTGCATTTCCCTAATGACTAATGATGTCAAGCATCTTTTCACATGCTTATTGGTCATTTGTAAATCTTTTTTGGAGAAATGTTTACTCAGTTCCTTTGCCCACTTTTTAATTGGGTTGTCTTTTTATTACTGAGTTGTAAGAGTTTTTAGATATTCTAAATCTCTATCCCTTATCAGATACATGATTTGCAAATAGTTTCTCTCATTCTGTGGGTTGCCATTCTCTTTCTTCATGGTATCTTTTGAAACACAAAGGTTTCTAATTTTTTTCTTTTAAGAGTTTTATGCTTTTAGCTCTTACATTAGGTTTTTGAAACTGATGCACTGATTTTAAAAACCATATGAAATAGCAAAGGATCCAGAATAACCAGAAAAAGAACAAAGTTGGAGGACTCACACTTCCTAAATTCCAAACTTATAATACAAGCAACAGTAATAAAGAAAGTGCTGTACTGGCATAAGAATAGATGCACAAATCAATGGACTAGAAACATGAGTCCAGAAAAAAACCCATGTGTCTAGGATCGACTGATTTCGACAAGAGTTGCTAGGACCATTCAGTGGGAAAGAGTAGTCTTTTCAACAAATGGTGCACGGACAACTGGAGAGCTACATGTAAAAGAATGAAGTTTGCCCTTACTTCATAGCATATATAAAACTTAACTCAAATGGATCTAAGACCTAAATGTAGCAGTCTCAGTTTTATATTTAAATACATTCACTATTTGCCACCAATTCCTTTTACTGTGGCTTTACTATTCCAATTTTATTTTGCTTCATCAATTTGCTGGCTGAATTATACTCTCAGATGGTTTCCAAGTAGAAGTGCATAGGTGCTGAATAATCACAATTGTTTAATATTCGTTTTTAAAAGTTTGTTTTAAAATGGTCTTGAAGGGAAAATTGGATTTATATAAAGTTCTGGAATCACATTTCCTTTGTTCCACCATCTTCTAAGACCAAGAACTTATTCATTCATTTATTCATTTAACAAACATTGTTGCGTGCCTACCGCATGTCAGACGGTAGTGGCGAAAGACAGTGTCTCTGCCCTCAGGGCTCCTTTATCCTATTGGAAGGAAATAATCAACAAAAGTTATGTATCAGGTGGTGGCAAACACTACAGAGATAAGGCAGGATGAATGAGGGATATAGTTAGAGACTGAATTATAAATGTAAACATACTGTCAAAAAATGTGTCAACTTCTGTTTTTCATAATCCTTTCTTACCTTTACTGTTGAGGATCTTTTAGGAACTAATGTCAAATATTAATCTAATGAAAAGGAATTAATCTGAAGTTGAGGAGTTCTTTCAATGTCACTATTTATTCCTTAAACTGAAAATATGCTTCTATGAAATCCTACCCTGTGCTAATTTCAAGAACTTAAATATTGAAGAAGGTTCTAGGCCATACAGCTCCATTTCATAATAATTTCAAACCACATCAGAGATAAGCATGATAGACTTCTGAGCTGAAAATCCATGCATGAGACAACTTTTTAAAGACACTGTAACAGAAATCACAAATACTACCCCTAGAAATAAATTCAACATCTACTGTTAAATCTCTAGTACCTTCAAAGTGTTACACCTGTAAAAAATCCCATACTTAATAGAGTATTCTTATCTTCACAAATTAGATGTACTTTAAAATCATGCCAGAAATATCTACCACTCTTACATGGGTGTGGAAAAGTTCTTGTGGACAGGTTATTTTGAAAATTTGAGCTTTTATAAACCTTTTTTCCAACTACCAAAAGTCAGAAAAAAAAATACATTTAACATGAAGAATCCCTGTTTGAACATATAGAACACTGGCTACCACAAGATCATCTTCTATAATAGAGTACCTGATAATAAAGTATATGTTACCTAAGCTAACATACTTGTAAAAGAGTGTCAGAGTGAAAATCAGATTCCATATATGGAATAATTTACTCCTTAGTCATAATTAATCTAGATACAGAGAAAACCTTGACGACAATGTTGCTAATGGATGATAACGAGCAGGAGGATGATGATACCATATATTTATGTGGCATCAGAATCCCACTGAGGTTGGGAATGTTACCTTATTAATATTCTTTGTATCTCTTTGAGGTAAGGAGAGACCACGTATTTCAATTTTGCAAATTAGGAAACCATAAGTAAAATAATTTACTTAAAATTCCAACAAATCAAAGCACTGCCAAGCGAAATGACTAGTGTAAACAATCTGCCCATTAAACCATAAATTTAGCAAGCACTTGTCATTTATATCCCACCCACTCCCCAAAAGAATCTGTGACAAAAATTAAAGCAGAAATGTCCAAGTGGCAGCACCAGCATCAAATTCCAAAGGGATTACCTAGAGTAAGACTTGCTACGACTGAAGAGCTGCACAGGACCTACCAATTTCCTTAATCATAAAGTATTTGCCTTACAATCTCAAAGCAGTTAAATTGGAGTACAAAACAGTTAAATTTGGAGTAGCAAATTCTTGTGTTTTGAAACAACTTGCTGTGCAATAAGGAAGGATAAAATCGTCTCAGAAATAAACTGACACCTTTCAAAGGTCAAGGAAACAACTGCCCTGAGCTAGGGTCAGGGCCATTAAGTTACTACTGCACCAAACTCCTGTTTATTATGTCCCTTTTCCAATGCTGTCTTTGCCCAAGACAGCTATTTTGCACTAAATTTCTGGTAAAGATCCAATGTAGGTAATTACATTCTGGCATTAGACATCTACCACACATTAAATTAAGATTGATATCATGTTCACATAGCATCCTGAACTATATGCCACAGAGTTAAACTCTTCCATGGCTATGATTCAGCTTGTGACAAGGCTCTTCTTCTCTTTGAAATATACAAAATAGTCAGAGATCAATGAAATAAGTCATCTGGACATATATCTCTACATTTAAAATTATTTATTCAAGCTTTTAGAGTATGTTCATTGCCAAATGGCTCTAGGGCAAGCCCTTCCATTAGACTGACAATTTGAAAGTACTTATTGGTCATACAACGCCTACAGCCTAAAAGGAGTGATACAGATTTAAAGCAGCATAGTCTTTAAAGGACTTTTTCTGGATATAGTGCTTTGTGGAGATCATGACCTATGGAGGCCATCAAGACGCCGCTATTTATTATCCCTCACCATGAAATAGCTACCTATTACTATTAATATTTCAAAACAACTCAAAATTTGAGAGTAAAATGTAGCCATTTTTTGAATTTTACAACTCAGTAATTTACTATGATATTAACTAATTTTAAAAACATTAAAGGTATTTCTCCTCTTAAGTCCTTCCAGATGATACCAGATATTATACCAGGGAAGTCTGACAGCTCATAGTTGCTTAACACAGGGGAGCTTGATACAAAGACACATCCCCTGGGCTTGGCTCAATATTCTTACTGACAGAAGCCTTCTGAACTATCACTGAACTTAGCGGGTGATACCACAACTTGAGACTTCTGGAAACAGGAAAGAAATCCTGAACACTTCATCCAATGACATTTCCCAAAATTGTGTGAGGAGACAGCAGAAGTGATCAAAATAAGGATTGTGGGATACAGGAGCAAGGAGTACAAAGACAGACCCTAATTTTAAGAAAGCTTTCAGTGGGTTTCTGATGTTTGGATTTAATAATGCTCGTTAGAAAATTATTTGAGCGAATGTTTGACATTAGCGGCTGAAATCTATAAAATACAGCAACTGGAATTAAACTAATAAAATCTTACACAGTATCAATCCACAGATTTAATAACCAGATAAGGGTGATTTGCAATGAGTATATAGACAGTTTATAGGTAAGTCAGAGCTTCTCAAGTACTTAAGAAGTACTTAAGGGTGCTTATAAACAAAGTCCTGTTGTAAGTAGTTCAAACATTCTTGCTAAAATCTTGTTTGCACTATTAGTTTGCTTAGTGGAACTTTTTTCAGAGACTGTTACTGTGAGTTTTAATAAGGCTTGTGTCTGGAATAGCTCAAGTCCTTACTCAATGGGGCCTGGATTAATAACGTTTTAAATTACCTCAAAATACAAGGCCTCGTGCAATATGTTAAGTATCACTAGGATTCAGGGAATTCAACTGTATGGTCCAAGCTAGAGGTAAGAAAATCCTAGTCGAAGCCAGTGCATAATGGCCATTTACCCCTCAGGAAACAATTGCCGCTTTATGATTTCAACTCTTTCAGGGGAAAGCAGAGACAAATTTATGTGTCTTGGAATGGACAGAGCCTGGAGTTGCATCCTAAATCAACTGGCATTTTGACATGTAAAATCTACTTTAACAGTTTTCGTTTCTGCTGGCTCATTTTCCATCAGAAATCTTGGTACAGCAGAAAAAAGTCTAGACCCCATAGTCTGTCACTCGACTCACTCTATCAGGACCAATATCTTACCTTCTTGATCTTCCATTAATCCAGTACAACCTACCCATTTGTCTTCTCCACTTCTACACCCAGTGTGTTCGACCTCAAAGAGAAAACCACAGAGGTCTGCCAACTGGCACACACCTCAGATATCCAACTTCCAGACTCAGCTAGACCCTCCAGACCACCTGGGACAGGTGACAACATTTGACTCAAGGAGGCTGTGCCATGCTTCTTGAAATATGTTCCCTTCCCTTGGTCTTTATATATCACCACCTCCTAATTCTCCTGCTACTTTTCTAATCACTCCTAACCAGGCTCTTTTCACTCGACACCCTTGACACTTGGTGTTCCCAATGTCTGTCTCTGTCCCCTACAGAACTCATTTTGTCAGACTGATTTCCTCACAGTCACCTACCATTTTATACACTAATGACCTCCAAATCCTCATTTCTAATTCAATCACCTTCTGAGTTCCAGACAAGCATGTCCAGCTTCCTCCACCTGAATGCCCTCACCTCCATTCACTCAGTGGCACCAACAGAAACATAAAAATTGGCCAGGCACGGTGGTTCACGCCTGCAATCACAGCACTTTAGGAGGCCGAGGTGGGAGGATCACTTGACCCCAGGAGTTTGAGACTGGCCTGGGAAACACAGGGAGAATTTGACTCTGCAAACAATTAAAAAAAAAAAAATAGCCAAGAGTAGTGGCCCATGTCTGTAGTCCCAGCAACTCAGGAGGCTGAGGTGGGAAGATCGCTTGAGCCTAGGATATTGACGTTGCAGTGAGCTATGATCATGCCACTGCACCTCTGCCTGAACCACACAGCAAGATCCTGTCTCCAGAAAAGGAAAAAGAAAGATAAGACAAGTATAGACATCATCAAATCCACTGGTTTCTGGCATGAAGGAAAAAGCGCTGGGTTCTAAATCTCTGCTCATAATTACTATGCATTTCTTAACAACTGCCACAAAATACAATTTTTACTAATTTCTAGGAAAACCTACAAATTAATATTTTATATACTATGTGTATTGTTTTATGTTTCTATATTAGCTGAAAACACACTTTTCAACATCATTTTCCTGTGTCTCCCTCTCAATAATTTCTACCACCTTTTCCATTCTGTAACCAAAAAGCTAGCAAGGCATTTAGCTTTCCCCTAAATAAATTAATCACACAAAATTACTTCACAACATTCTGACCTTTAAATTAATTTATATGAATACAAAATATACGAAGTTTTGCAAACACAGTGTTCAAAGCAACTGGGAGAATTATTTGCAGGACACACGGCAAATAATTTGCCCTCAAATGCAGATGTGTTTTGAGCAATACGCTTAGTAAATGCTTATGCAGAAGAAAAATGCCCATCTGTCATATAATTTCTTTTCTTATAACTTTCCCTAGGAATAGAGAAAAAGTGACAAAAGATTAAAGAAAGTTTCATATACAGTACTCTTATAAACACAATAGAAGATAACAAATTACTCTAGAAAACACAGTTTTGAACAGATTTTGATGAGGTGGAATAATTGTACAAAGATCTCATCCTTAGGTAGCTTCAAGGCATAAAATACAGAAAAGTACCTCAGATTCTGTCAGGCATGCAATTATCCCATGAAACCACAACTTTAGGAGCTGTGTGTGTGTGTGCATCTGTGTAACACAAAGTGTGTTACTGAATGAACTAACAGGACCAATGCAAGTAATACCATTACAGCACACCATAAGCATTCCCCTAATTAAAACATGCCATTCTTTCACAATTCTAAGCGTGTACACTTCCGGTAAAACATGCCACTCTTTCACAATTCTAAGCATGTACACTTCTGGTAAAACATGCCACTCTTTCACAATTCTAAGCGTCTACACTTCCAGAGAACATTATCTGTCCAGGCTTTTATAACGAAAAATTCTGTAAGAAATTTAGCCTTTAATTAGTTTTCTCTTGTTACTTTCAGTTTTTTCTTTTTTCTTTTTTTTTTAGTTTATTTAATTTTATTTCTTTCCAACTTTTATTTTACGTTCAGGGGATACATGTGCAACCTTCCAGTTCTTCTACATTCAAGAATATTACATAGCTTGACACTGTTTCCTCACTATGTTCTCAAATTTACTTGGTTTTCTCATAAAAGAGCCTGATGTTTTAATTTCCTGGCTTCCAAAGCTTAAGGGCTTTTGCACTGTTGAAAACAATCTTATAGTTCTTCAAAACTGAATGGCTGATATTATAAAGTGGTATATTTCAGGGGAAAAATGTTCAAATAATAGAAGGATTCTCAGCACAGCAGTTGAGTCAGCAGTGCTAAAGGGTATATTCTTTTTTCTTGAGTATTTGGTTCCACAAGTTTTTTCAGGGTCAACTGTAAACTAAATATCAAAACTTAAGTGCTTATCACCATGTATTACAAAGAAAATATACTATGACCTCATGTTACTATTTTGTGTAATTTCAGAACATTTTAAAATTTATCTTTTCTACTCCATTTATTTCCAAAATACTTCTAAAATTGCAATTTATAGTCTATTTACATTCAAAATACTTTAGAAATAAAATATAAGTAGGTTAAAAATCATATCTTTCTCATCATTTGATTAAGAGTATCCATATTAGTTCTTCCCAAGACAGCAACATTTTCTTAGCACTAAATTTCAGTAGGAAAGCATTTTTAACATCGTTTTAAATGTAAAATTTCTTGTTAGGATTGTTTCTTTTATTTATTCTTGATGAAAAACAAAATATATGGCTTTGATTTATACATATTTAAACCAATACTTGTCACACTTACATATGATGCGTTTTTCTTCACTGACTGTGGAGTTAATATGTTATGGCTGTTATGGCATACATGTCAGGACTGGCTGATCTAGTGGATGGACTCAGCAGTGTGTCCCTTGGCTGCCTCTTTCATAACTACTCAGCTCTTCTACCCCTGAGCTGAGCAGCTGACAGTTCACTATCAAGCTTGTTGATGACTGATAGAAATGCTGATACTCTATATTGCTGGGCAAAAAGAGAAGCATTCTTGTAGATAACAGACAATTAAGGAGCTTAGCTTGCATGTACCTAAACCATATCAATAGGCCAAGACTGTAGAAAATGACTCATTTAGAAAAATATTTTATATCTTAAATGAATCTCAGAGATTAACTAGTGCTTCATACTTGTCCTGTGAGTCCTGCTGGAAGTTCCTTTGCTCCCAAGGTGGTGTAGACATGTGCTCCACAGCACTGATCTTAGTTTGTTACATGCCCTAGCAGGTACGTAACATACCTCATTTTTTGGTTTTGTGTTTAAGTTTCAGCTTTCTCTCTTACTTACTTTGCCAATTACTCTATGAAAAGCAAGTTGCTAGATTGGTAACTGAGTTTATAAAAATAAAAACAGGAAGCAAGATGTTAAGTGCTGTTATTACTGTCAGTATTTTATATTCAGCATTTCATTTAATCTTTGTAACAATCCAATGAGCTAGGTATTTTTATTCTAATTTAAAGGAGAAAAGTGGCTAGGTTTGTATTTAGTGCCACTTCTTGACTGACCAGTCACATTTGGGAACACATTTTAGGCTCTTTGTTCCCAAACTAAACTCAAGATACGAACATTCACACATCCTGATGCCTCTACATTCTGTATTTCCTGATTGACATTTGGTTAAACCATGAAGAAGTAGTGACCAACCAACTCTCAACAGTGAAACAGGCTCCATTTAGGTGACTTTTTATACAGATAGCTTCCCAAATCCCATACTACATCTATGATATCAGACACTTGAGGAATGGGAATTCAGAACGTTATCTTTAGGTACATGGCCAGATTCAGGAACCAATGGTTTAGTAAACTACACCTCAGAGATCTTAGGTCCTGTAATTGCTGTCAAAAGCAGACTAGAATCCAAGATTCCCAGCTGGGAACTTTTCACAATGCCACAAAGATATGCTTTTTAAAAGGCAGGAGGGTCTCTTTCACAAATATGTTAGATCTGAGCACAGAAAACCATTCAATCCTTGGTTCGTTTAAAGCAGCACAGATAAGTCTAAGCAAGGAATAAATCAAGCAGCAAAGATTTAATGTGAACCCAAAACATCAGGAACAAAGGAGATGAAAACTGGTAAAGATACTAAAAAATGGAAAGGGAAAATGATTATTATTACAGAATGTGATAAAAGCTGCCAATGTCAATGACAAATAGGATCTTCATCTCTATCAGCAGAATTCTACAAAGTATCAAAAAACACGTTACTGTACTCTCCAAAACAGATTGCTTATATTTATTTTGAACATAGCCTCAATGACCAGTTGGAAAAAGTGGTCTAACATGCTATTGAAATACAAGAAAAATACTTGAAGATATAATGGCTGAAAACTGTCATAAATTGATAAAGACTGTAATCCTTCTGATCCAAGAAACCCAACGAACCCTGAGCAGGATAAACACAAGAAAAACACACAGCACATCAGGCTGGGCACGGTGGCTCACACCTGTAATCCCAGCACTTTGGGAGGCCGAGGTGGGTGGATCACAACATCAGGAGTTCAAGGCCAGCCTGGCCAACATGGTGAAACCCCGTCTCCACTAAAAATACAAAAATTAGCCAGGTGTGGTGGTGGTCACCTGTAGTCCCAGCTACTCGGGAGGATGAGGCAAGAGAATCGCTTGAACCCGAGAGGCAGAGGTTGCAGGGAGCCGAGATCGTGCCATTGCACTCCAGCCTGGGTGACATAGCAAGACTCCATCTCAAAAAAAAAAAAAAGAAAGAAAGAAAAAAAAAAACACATAGCACATCAAAATCAAATTACCCTAAGCTAGTGATATAGCAAAAATGTTGCAAACAGAGTGAAAAAGACCCATAGAGAAATGAACACAAGGATGATGAGATTACTTGTCAAAATGTTAAACAGAATCTAATCTAAAAAGAGTTTTAAAGTGCTAAAAGTCACTAGCATTCTATATCTATGAAAATAACACTCAATAAGGTAAAATGAAGATGTTGGCTGACACAAACAAGAGCTGAAAAAATTCACTGAGAGCAAACAGAAACTACATGAAATGTAAATCAGACTAAACAAAAACTATACCAAATAAAAACTTCCATCTATGTAAAGAAATGAAGAACATCAGAAGTGATAAAGATGTGGGTAAATAAGCCTTTTATTCATTTAAAAATTGTTTTAAAAATTGTTTAAAGTCAAAATAATAAAAATATATTGCAGGGTTAAAAACATGGGGAAATAAAATCTATGAAAACAATAGAACAAAGACCAAATGAGGAAATGGAAGTATATTATTGTCAACCTCTTACATTATATGGGAAGTGATATAATACTGTCTACAAATAGAGAGAGATAAGATACAGGTGCTTATTACAAAATCTAGAGAAATTATTTTTTAAAAAATCAAACAGGTATAAACAAATAAGATAAAGATTTAAAAGAATGCTTTAAAAATACCAAATTCAACCCAAATAAGGCAAGAAAAGACGGGGGAAAGGATCCAAGAACAAATGTGACAAATAAAAACCAAAACATTAAAAGGGCTTAACTCAGCAAAGGACATGAACAGATATTTTTCAAAAGAAGACATACAAATGGCCAAAAAGCATAAGAAAAAATGATCACAACATCTCTAATCAGGGAAATGCAAATTAAAACCACAATGAAGTATCATCTTACAACAGTCCAAATGACTATTACTAAAAAGTCTAAAAATAGAAGATGTTGGTGAGGATGCAAAGAGAAGGAAACACATACGCTGTTGGTGGGAATGTAAATTAATACAACTTATATGAAAAACAGTATAGAGATTTCTCAAAGAACTGAAAATAGAACTATCATTCGATCTAGCAATCCCACTACTTGGTATCTATCCAGAGGAAAAGAAACAATTATATAAAAAAGATACCTCCAATTATATGTTTATCACGGAACTATTCACAATAGTAAAGATGTGGAAACAACATACATGTCCATCATTGGAAGACTGGATTAAAAATGTGGCATATATACCATGGAATACTACTCAGTCATAAAAAAGAACAAAATCAGGGCCGGGTACGGTGACTCATGCCTGTAATCCCAACACTTTGAAAGGCTGAGGTGGAAGGATTTGCCTGAGGCAAGGAGTTCGTGACCATCCTGGGCAACATAATGACACTCAGTCTCTAGAAAAAAATTAAAAATTAAAAATTAGCTAAGCGTGGTCGCGCATTACCTATAGTCCTGGCTACGTGGGAGGCTGAGATGGGAAAACCCCTGAGCCTAGAACTTGAGGCTGCAATCAGCTATGATTATGCCATTGCATTCTTGTCTACAGCAAGACTCTGTCTTCAAAAATAAAAAGTAAAATAAAACAAGAACAAAATCATGTCTTTTCTAGCAATGTGTATGAAACAAGAGGCCATTATCTTAAGTGAAATAGCTCAGAAACAGAAAGTCAAATACTGTATATCCTCACTTATAAATGGGAGTTAAATAATGTGTACACATGGACATAGAGAGTGGAATAAAAGATATCACAGACTTGGAAGGGCAGGAGGGGGGTGAGGGATGAGAAATTACGTGGTGGGTATAATGTACTCTATTTGGGTGATGATTACACTAAAAACCCAGATTTCGCCACCACACAATATATCCACGGATCCAAACCGCACTCACACCCCCTAAATTTATAGAAATACAAATGAAATAAAATTAAAAGACTGTAATCTAATTAGATGAATAATTACATTAAGTGAAATGGTCTGAATATTCTAATTAATAGAGATTTTCACACTAGATAAAATTGTTGTAAGACTCAATAATATGTTTTTTATGTGAAATATAAGTATGAAGACAGATTGGTTAAAAGGACGGACAGTTTTATCATGCAAACACTAATGAAAAGAAAGCTGGGTGGTTTCAGCTACAAAATATAAAGAAATTGGGTTTACCACTAGTCCTCACAACAAGAAAAATGCTGAGGAAATGGAAAACCGATGACTTTTCTTAGGTCCATGTGAGAATTTAGGTCACAGGGCAAACAACCACATTAAAATTATTCTTTTTTATTTTTTTTCTGGAGAGACAGGTGAATATAGAGAATGGCGGTTGAGATTGGCTTATCTGAAGGAGAAACCGCCAGGAAAATCAAAATGGTAACTTCAGTGAATTCCTGCAGAATGAATATGCACTAGCTTGGGAGTTAAAAAAAGTCCCAGGAGCCCCAACTTAGAGGAGTCCCCACACTTTTAAGAATTTTACCTTCAAGAGCTCCAAGACAGTCTTTACGGTGAACATCAGAGAAAACCCCCTCCTGTTGCAGTAACAGTTTTGAAATACACCAAGGGTGTTCTGGTCTCCCTAACAAAAACTTGCCTTCTCAGGGAAAATGCTTCGACAAAGTCTTCTCTGACCTAGGGGAAAAGCAGACACTCAACTCTGGCCGCATCTATCTGTCCTGTCTCCTTTGAAAGAGAAAGAAAAAAAACTGCTAAGAAACAATTCTGGCCACAGGCCAGAAATTCAGCCTCATTTTAAAAATAGGACCTTACCAACATTCATCAACAGGGCTTCCATATAGTAAGAGTGGATTACAACTGAGAGAGCAGTAAGCCACAGACTCTATTTAGGAAATAGTTCTCAAGGTATCCTAGACAAGAGAGTGAAGAAACAACATCACAAGTCAACTATGGAAAACTAAAACCTGTGGCACTTACAGCTATAGCAAATACTAAACAAAACCCAGCTCATTGTCAGATTAACATAAAACCTCACACTAAAAGCTTACTATCTCAGTTCCTATTACTTGACAAGTCAAGTCCAGCTTTCAACAAAAAAAATGACAAGGTCATGACAAAAGAAAAACAAGAAAAAGCACCATCTAAAAAAACAAAGTGAGCATTAGAAACAGATTCACATATAACAGATTTTTAAATTATCAGATAGGGAAGTTAAAATAATTATGATTAATATTTTAGGAAACTTAATGGAAAAAGTAGACAACATACAAGAAGATATGCGTAATGCAAGAAAAGAGGTGGGAAAAAGAACCAAAAGAAAATGATAGAAATGAAAACACTGACAGAAATGAGTTCCCCTGGCATGACCACAGAAAAAGTCAGTGAGCTTGAAGATATATCAATAGATGCATCGCAAACTACAATGCAGAGAAAAGAGAATAAAAGAAATGAAACAATGTCCAAGAACTGTGATACCATTACAAAAGGTGTAACCAACATGTAATGAGAATGCCAGAAAAAGAGCAAAGAAAGGAAGAAATGGCTGAGAATTTCCCAAATCTAGCAACAAATAACAAATCAAAAGTCAAGGAAGCTCAGAGAACACCAGAGAGGATAAAAACCATATATATATATATATATATATATATATATATATGCATATCATAACTGCAAAAAACCAAAGAGAAAGAGAGTATTTTGAAAGAAGCTTGTCAAAAAACAAGCAAGCCAAAAGACAACTGTATGAAATATTTAAAAGTATTAAAAGAAAAACACCCAACAAACTAAAATTTTATATACAACAAAATTATCCCCCCCCCCCAAAAAAATAAAAATAAAAACTTTCTAAGGCAAATAAAACTGAGGGAATGTATTGCCAGGAGACCTGCCTGGCAAGAAATGCTGAAAGAAATTCTTCAGCGAGAAGGAAAATTATATAGGTCAAAAACTCAGGAAACAAAAACAACAACCATAAAAAAAAAGAAAGAAACAAGGGTAAAATGAAATCGTTTTTATTCTTAACTGATTTAATATATAACTGTTCAAAGTGATAACAGAAACGAAACAACATATGGGTGATTATAGTATATGGATAAGTGAAAAGAAGGACAGCAATGTTATAAGAGGTGGAAGGGAGATGTTCAAAATACTCTGTTATAAAGTACATGAACTATCTGTTAAGCAGCATACCGTTATTTAAAAGTGAATTTAAATTAGCTACTAATGTATATCCCAAACTTTAGGGCAACCACTGAAAATTTTTTCCAATAAGTTTTTTGGTTAAGACAGGAGAAAAAATAGAATATAAAATGTTTAATGAAAATCAGAGAAGGCAAGAATAGAGAGGAAGATGAAGAATAAAATATAACTGCAAAAAATAGAAAACTGATGCAAATATCACAGATATTAATTCTACCATATCAATAATTATTTGCAATGTAAATAGTCTAAATATACTAATTAGAAAACAAAGAGTGACACAGTGGATAAAAAATAAGACCTGACTATATGTTGTCTATAAGAAACTCACTTTTAAGTATAAAGTCACAGGTAGATCAAAAGTAAAGGGATGGATAAGTGTATATCATGCCAACACTAATCAAAAGAAAGTTATAATAGGTATATTAATCTCAGAGAGAACAAAGAAAATTATCAGGAATAAGGAAGACATTATGTAATGATAAAGGGGTCATTTCTCCAAGAAAACATAATAATCCTTAAGAAGTAAGCACCCTACAAAAGAACAACAAAATTCATCAGACATGACTAATAATGCAAGGGGAAATAAAGCCATTATTAGAGATGGAGACTATACACCTCCCTCTATCAGTAATTCACAGATCCAACTGGCAGAAAATCAGCAAGGACATAGCTGAAGTGAAAAACGCCATCAATCTGCTAAAAAGACTTAATTGATATTTACTGATTACTTCAGAGTACACATTCTCTTCACTGTCACATAAAACATTTACTAAGATAGACCATGGATGGGACCATAAAACACACAGTAACAAAATTCAAAAAACAGAAATTAAACTGTGCCCCCAGATCACAACAAAATTAAATTTAGAAAATACTTGGAGATTAAATAGCATACTTTCAAATAAAAAATAGATCAGAGAAGTATCAAGATAAATGTTTAAATATTTTTAACTAATAAAAGTAAAACTACAATTTATCAAAATGTGTGGGGTGCAGGAAAAGCAGTGCTTAGAGGAAAATGTATAGTATTGAATGCAACATTAGGAAAGAGGAAAGTTCTCAAATCAATAATCTTAGGAAACTAGAGAAAGAAGGGCAATATAAACCTAAAGCAAGCCAAATAAAGAAAATAGAGCAGTCCCCCTTATCTGTAAGGTGTATTTTCCAAGATCTCCACTGGATGCCTGAAACTGCAGACAGTACCAAATCCAACTACTATGAATTGGAACACACGTTTGTTCATGTCTTCTACCCACAAATTTAATGCCTTTCCATCTTAACTGGACATTTATCATGCAATGTGGCCCAAATTTTGCAGTTCAGCAAAACTAGCAAAACAGCAAAACTAGCATGACTTTTTCTTTCCCATTTTAAGAATAGAAGATTCATTCTTAGCAACCTCAGTTTATGGTTTTTTTCTTTCCTTGTTGGGAGATTTCACCTTAAAGGAAGGCTAGATGTAGCAGCACAGGTCTGTAATCCCAGCACTTTGGGAGGCCGAGGCAGGCAGATTGCTTGAGCCCAGGAAATAGAGACCAGCCTAGGCAACAAAACCCTGTTTCTAAAAAAAAAAAAAATAAATTAAAAAAAAAAAAAACAGAAAAATTATCTGGGCATGGTGGCACACAACTGTAGTCCCAGCTACTTGGGAGGCTGAGGTGGAAGGACTGCTTGAGCCTGGGAAGTTGAGGCTGCAGTGAGCTGTGATTGCGCCACTGCACTCTAGCCTAGGCAACAGAGCAAGGCTCGGTCTCAAAAAAAAAAAAAAGCAGAAAGCAGACGATGAAAAAACAGACAATTGTCCAGAAAACAAACAAACAACAGAGAATCAAGGAGTACTTCCAGAAATAAAGGGGAAGCTATCGCAATAAAAAAGTGGTCAATTAATAAAGAAGGCATAACCATCCTAAATGTACATGGACCCAATAATAGAGCTACAAGATATATGACTCAAAAGCTACCACAACCAAAAGGAGACAGAATCAAATTCAGAACTATTATTGGATATTTCAACAGTTTTATCAGTGATTGCTGAAACTAGAGAACAGGAAATCGAGAAATAACACTATCAACTAACTTGAACTAATGGACGATTAATGAACACTATATCTAAGAGCAGATGATTATATATTCTTTCCAAAATGCTCATGTAATAAGACTATAAAATGGACCAAAACCATGTTTCCACAAATTTAAAAGGATCGAAATAACAAAGAAAATACTCTCAACAACAATAGAATCAAACTATAAATCAATAAAAACGACTTCTAGAAAATATGCAAATATTTAGAAAGAGCATATTTCTAAATAACCCATGGGTCAAAGAAGTCACAAGAGAAATTAGAATATGTATTTTAATTGATTGAAAATTAAAACATATCAAAAATCAGTCAGCAAAGGCAGTGCTGGGAGGCTAATTATGGTTTTAAACACTTATAGAAAGAGCAGAAAGATCTAAAACACATAATCTAAATTTCATCTTGAGAAGCTAAAAAAAAAGACAAATCGATCCCCAAGTAAGCAGAAGAAAAGAAATAAACATAAAAGCTGAAAGTAATGAACTGGAAAGGAAAAAACAACAGAGAAAAATCAATGAAGCCAAAGGTAATTTGCTGAAAAGATCAATAAAATGAAGAAATATTTCCAGGTAGCACTGAAAGGTGGTGGGGGTGGCGAGGGTGGAGGAGAGGAGCGTGGACACAAGACACAAAATTTTCATGCCAGGAATGAAAGACAGCAAATTATCTGCAGATCTTACAAATATTAAAAAGAAATGCCATAAACAACCACAGTTGATTCTTTTTATTTTTTTTTTTCCCCCTGAGACAGAGTCTCACTCTGTTTGCCAGGCAGGAGTGCAGTGGCGCTATCTCCGCTCACTGCAACCTCCGCCTCCTGGGTTCCAGCAATTCTCCTGCCTCAGCCTCCTGAGTAACTGGGATTACAGGCGCGTGCCACTGCACCCAGCTAATTTTTGTATTTTTAGTAGAGACAGGGTTTCACCATGTTGTCCAGGCTGGTCTCGTACTCCCTACCTCAGGTGATCTGCCTGCTTCAGTCTCCCAAAGTGCTGGAATTACAGGTGTGAGCTACCGTGTCCAGCCCACAATTGACCCTTTTAACAACATAGGAATTAGGAGTGCCAACCCCCATTGCAGTCAAAAATCCATTTATAAATTTTTACTGCCCTGAAACTTAATTGCTAACTACTTACTGTTGACTGAAGTCTTAATCATGGATTAATATATATTTCATATGTTATATGTATTATATACTGCATTCTTAACAACAAAGTAAGCCAGAGAAAAGAAAATGTTAAGAAAATTGTAAAGAAGGAAAAAACATTACATTTCCAAAAAAGTCAAATCTAAAATTAAGCCATATTGTCACCAGGTCACCATTCTAACACTACTGAAGAAAGCTGCATACGCTGCAGGTATACTTGGTAAAGAATTAAGCTTATCTTGTTTTTTAAAAATAGAAATAATTTTTAAATTTAAAATGTTCAACTTAATTCAAAATATTCTGCCATCCATAGTCTTCCTCACCCTACTTGTCATCCACAAAAACCTTTACAATTTTTGTTTCTTCATTGAAATCTTCAGCTACAGTTCTGTATAACTTTTATTTTCTCAGAGTATTAATTTGAACCTTCTCTATCTACTGGCAACAACCTGACATATAATCTGCCTTAAACTTTAAGGTCTATAATGATTATAGAATAGAATTACGCTGATGCTATGACTCAAATCGTATCTAAACATACATAGCTTCACTTAGTGAAACAATAAGGAGTTATGTCAAGTTCTAGACAGTGGTTTTGTTGAGATATAATTAACATACCACGTAATTCACCCATATAAAGTGTACAGTTCAATGGTTTTCAGTAATACACTGATGGTTGTTGAGCAACCATCAACATAGTCAACTTCAGAACATTTCTAACACTCTCAAAAGAAACCTTACACCCCTTTTAGCAGTCACTGGCCATTTGTTCCCAATCCCTCAACCCTAGACAACCACTAGTCAGCCTTCTATGCCTATAGATTTATCTATTCCAAACTCTTCATATTAATGGAATCATAATACGTGGTGGTTTTTACTAACTGGCTTTTTCACTTACCATAATGTTTTCAAGGTTCATCCAAGTTGTAGCATAAGTACTTCATTGACTTTAAGTGGCTGAAAATATTTCATTGTATAGATAAATTACATTCCATTTATCCATCAATAAATGAACATTTGTGTTGTTTTCATCTTTTGGCTATTATGAATAATGCTGCTGTGAACATTCATGTACAGGTTTTTCTATGAATATGCATTTTAATTTCTTTGGGGTATATATCTAGGGATGGAATTGCTGGGGTACATGGTAACTTGACATTTAACCTTTCAAGGAACTGCCCATCTATTTTTTAAAGTGGCTACATCACTTTACATTCACACCAGCAGTGTATGAAAGTTCCCATTTTTCCACAACCTCATCAACGCTTGGTACTGTCTTTTTTATTATAGCCACCCCAGTAGATGTGAAATGTCACCTCACTGTGGTCTTGATTTGCATTTCCCTGATGGTTAATAATGTTTTTATGTGCTTATTGACCACTGAGAGTGTATAGAAATACAAATGATTTTTATATATTGATCTAGTATCCTGAATCTTTGCTGAATTATCAGCTGAAATAATTTTTAGTGGATTCCTTAGGATCATCTATATACAATATAAGATGATGTCATCTCCAAATAGAAATAGTTTAACTTCTTCCTTTCCAATGTGGATGTCTTTTGTTTCTTTTTCTTGCCTAACTGCTCTAGCTCCAGCCTCCATGCAATGTTGAATGAAGCAGAGACAGCCCATAATCTCCTCTTGTTACTCATCTTAGAGGGCAAGCATCCTATCTTTCACTATTAAGTATGATATTACCTGTGAGTTTTTTCTAGATCCTCTTTTTCAGGTTGCAGAAGTTCTCCTTTTCCTTTTTTAGTCTCACTCTGTTGCCCAGGCTGGAGTGCAATGGCATGATCTCAGCTCACTTCCAGGTTCAAGTGATTCTCCTGCCTCAGCCTCCGAAGTAGTTGGGATTACAGGCACCCACCATCATGCCCGGCTAATTTTTGTATTTTTAGTAGAGACGGAGTTTCACCATGTTGGCCAGGCTGGTCTCGAACCCTTGACCTCAGGTGATCCACCTGCCTCGGCCTCCCAAAGTCCTGAGATTACAGGCATGAGCCACCTCTTCCTGCCAGAAGTTCTTTTATTCCTAGTTTGGTGGCTATTATCATGAAAGGGTGTTTTATTTTTTCAAATGTCAAATTTTTCAGCATCTACTAAGACCATTATGTGGTGTTTGCCCTTTGTTCTACTGATATGCTATATTACAGTAGCCAAATTTTGTATATGAAACCAACCTTGCATTCCTGAGATAAATCCCACTTGGTCATGGTGTATAATCCTTTTTATATGTTGCTTGATTCAATCTGTTAATATTTTGTTTTGGATTTTTGCATCTATTCAGAAAAGATATTAGTATATTGTTTTCTTGTGATGTCTTTGACTGCTTCTTGATATTTGAAACCATATGTTTAACCTAAAGTCTTAAACTGTCAAACATCCAGAAAACTGCTATGAGCCTTAGGAGTTTATATATGTATGACTGATGCTGCATATATTCATATTTGTTCCAAGAAAATAATATTTTAAGGCTAGCCTTGAGAACAATAAAAGTATGCATAAAAATTGAAATTGTCAACATTGAATATGTATGCCTAAAGGTCATAACTTAGGCATATGTTATGCCTATATAAATAAATAAAATAAATTAAATAAATTAAAAAATAAAAACAATGTACATATCAGTTATGAGAGATCACATAGAGAATCCTAAACAGCAAGATTTAGAAACTAAGATTATATAAAAAGAATCTGAAATGTCTTAATATTTTATTGGTTCTACTTTAGCAGAGGCAGAATGCTTCCAACTTCTTTAAAATTTATTTTTATGGAAACGGAGTTTTAGTTTACCTTTGTAAAAGTTGTAAAATTACTACAGATAATACATTTTGCATGCTTTAATACATCATGAGAAAACACTACAATGCATCCAGAGGCATATTTTTTTTAAAAAATCAAAATCAGAGAGCCCCTTAATGGCAAAAAAAAATGCTTACTGAAATAGAAATCCAGTGGGGGAAATTAATATTTAATGTAAGTGAAGACAGTGATTCTGTTAATAGTCAAAATAAACACTGAAAGAGGAAATTAGGCAAATTTAGGACAACAGAATTACCTAAAAATAATACAGCTACTCATAAGGAAGAATGTTGCTTAAACCATACATCATTAGATTTATTGTTTCTGCTTAAACAGCACATGCAGGGTTACTTTAAAAACTTTAAACCCCAGCGCTGCATATGTGCTTATCTACTACTATACTGGAAAAATAAAACAAATGTGAAAGGTTTTGTAACATCATCTTCCTCTAAATTTCTGCAGCAGTTCTACCCCCAGCTGAGATGGTCTTGAGCTTCCTCCTTCTCCCAGCTGCTTCTCCTGCATTTGGCTTTAATCAGGTGCAGAGCAGGAACTCCACATCCTGTTGCCTTACTCTGATTAGGAGGAGTCAAATTCTACAAATTGGCAGGTTTCTGCCTGTAGTGATTCTATTTGATGAATCATTTGCTTTTAAGTATTTGAAAAGGGCCATTAGTGAAGGAGCAGCCCAGCTTGTTGCTATTTTCTGGTCTATTTATAACCAGCCATTCTAAGGAGCCAAATGCTGATCATCTTTATCTACTGGAACCTAGAAGTTAGGAATGAAACAAAGAATGGATAGTCACCTGATTCTGAAATAAAAACAGCAGAGATCAACAGATGAGACACTAGTTGTAGTGGTCTCTAGACCCTTAAGATAGTCGATTAACAGACTAAGAGATCTAGGTGCCTTTTTCCTAATAATAAAGAGACATAAAGTGAGTGTTTAAAGGCTTAGTCCAAAAACTTAAGCATTCAATCACTAGAAACAATAAATGCATAAGTAAAGATACAAGGTGGAAAAAAAGCCAAAAATTAATATAATAAGTAAAATATTTGTGGCTCTCTTAGTCTCCAGGTCTTGTGTTAACCTCAGTTCCTAAAACTCTAATCCCAGTTTTGCAAGTGGGCAGCATCTTGGACAGGTAAAACATAGCAGTTATATCCACTAACGACAGCATTCCAAGTTCCCGTCCCCACCCAACTGTGGAAATGACTCTCCACCACACCACACACCCTGCACTCCTGGGCTCCAATCGCTCTGTAAGGCGATACTAACAATGCATGCACCACCCAGCTGGTGGGGTGGCAAGGAGCCAGGCTTCCTCAGCTGGATAGTCTTGATTTAGAGGTTGTGAAATGGCAGTCTCATTAAGACTTGGCCACTGTCTCTTTCTCAACATCATTAAATTGCTAACACAGCAGGCCCAACATCAAATGGCCTTTGTGTAATCCTAATAAGCCAAAGGATGAGAAAAGCTGGACTTGAGGATGAGGGAATGCTTTTCATTGAAGCCTGAGTTTTATAGCCTGACAGGCTGCCTAAGCCTAACAAGGCAACAGGGTATGGAAAGACGACACAGGCAACTCTTATAAGCTGTACCAAAAGTAGAAGATGCAAAACCAGAAGGACAGGGAACAGGGTCTAAAAAAACCAAAGTGGAGCAAAATCTAAAGAAAATCTCATAGGAGGGTAAAGAAAAATTTAAAGCAAATATATCAGCCAGGGTAGGAAGGGCAAACCTTCAAGGTACTAATTGTAAATGGGTGGATATAGGATCCACACATAGAAGCAGTAGCTCTTAATCCCTAACTGGCATAAAATCCATGCTCTGAAAGACAAGTGACAATTTTGTGGCACTTTTCTGGTATTTTTTGCATTCGTGAGATTCATGAGATTAAGAGGACCATAGTGATGCTACAAAATATTTAAAATAACACGAATTCAATGATTTTTAAAATTCAAATTTTAAAAGAAAAGGAGTGGAAAATATCAGAAATGAGATCACCTGTTCAATCTGCTCGCGATAATGCACATTATGAAATAAAAAGCACCACCACATTTAACAGTACAAAACTGAACTTAGCTGCACAAGATTTGTTATTATCTATACCCAAGGTTCTAGTGCACAGAATTTTAGACTACTAAAATCTGTATTTTTGAATTTCATTCTATTGACTGCATATTTGATGAAACAGGAAAAGAGCATTCCCAAAAGAGCAGAGATTTTACTTTATATGTAAAACACAGTTGGAAATCAGTTAATTAGAAAGCACCTCAGCCAATAATAGTGAACATTTAGAACACAGACAGAGAACTTCCAAAACTCCAATAAGCCCTCTGTCTGAGGAATAATAAAAACTGTTCAGGCATGTGTCTTTTAAGAATTGTGTGTTAAATCTAAATTTATGTAATTAGAGGGTTTTTTTAATTACTTATAATTTCCTCTCTAATTTATTTCATTAAATACACAGATCCTGGAACTTCTTGGCAAATAATGTCAGCTAATACTGACGTAGGACCTAGAATCTAGGTAAATGGTCATCAAACTGTGTCTCCAGAGATGTTCTGGGCATTTTTCAAATAGCTGGCTTGAATTTCATTTTACACTATAGGAAAACTATATTCAAATTCACATGTAAATGACACTGACTTTTAAAACACTAGTAATTACCTAGATATGTACTGTCAAATTAAACTTATTTATAGTTTGACTTCAGAATAAAGCTTCCCCTGCCATCTTTACATATACTCGAACCTCTTTCATTAATGATGATGGCCATAAGCTACAAAAGGACAGGACTTGTGTCTCTTCCTCGTAACAACTATGGGTTGGATAAACTGTTCTGTGCCACAATTTTCAGAATTCAAAACATAAGAAAACTTGTTTGAAACAGGTGAAACCTGAGGAGTCTTGGCACAAGCAAAGGTGAGACCCCCTTCAGGGGCCCTTCTGCAGGCCAAGTGGACAGCATTCCACGGAGGGCAGAGATGTGACACACAGGAGCATGTGCACGCCAAGAACTAAACACAGAATACAAAAGACTCTCTAAAATAACTGTATTTGAAATGTTCAAAGAGGTACAAGAAGGAAGTAAAGCCACAGGCAAGAAAAGGTAGATTTGAAGTAAGCACTAAACTGATTTTTCATATATTTAGTAAAATGGTCACAAAAATTATCCCCAAATGGGTAAGGTGAGTAGGAGACATCATGCTCTAAAAGACAGAGATGAGAACATCATCCAAAATGCTGCACAAAAACCAAAAAGTTAAAAATAGATGAAAGAGAATCTTAAAGATATGGAAGAGAGGCTGAGATGCTCCAAAATGTGCCTAATAAAGGTTACATAGGAAAGAAATAGATAATATGTGAGTGAAGCAAGGAGACATGGTTGAGAATTTTCAATAATCAAAGAAAACCACAAATTCTCAGGTTAAAAGACAAGATTAACCCACATCCAGATATACTGTAATACAACTGAGAAACACAATCAGGGAGAATTGCTTTTCACTTTCTAATAATCAAAAAAAGAAAAAAAATTGAGGAGAAAAGAATCTTGAAAGAGTAACAATTACACCAATAGCAAAAATAGATAGTAAGAGATAATAGGATATTTTCATATTGCCAAGAGAAAATTACTGCCAGTTTAGAATTTTGTAACTAGCCAAAATACTATTCAAAAGTAAAAGCAAAATAGAGATTTTTTTCAGACAAGACAGAGAGTTTATAACTCACACGCCTTCACAGAAACTATCATCAAAGGACAGACTTTATCAAGAAGGAAGATGAACTCACAATGCAGCAGCAAGATGGCAGAAATAACAGTGAGTAAAGAAACTGGTGAACATATGGATACATCTAAAGAATTACCAGCCTTATTTAAAAATAACAAAAATAACAATGATTAATTGGAAAGAAAGGCAAACAAGAGAGAATGAAATTACTGGAAAGCAATAAATCGAAACATGGGAAGTAGCAGTTCAGGGTTAAAGTGTTCTCAGTAGGCAATGGGAACTATTAATTAGATTTAGACTTCATCAAGTATGCATGTTAAAGTTAACTATAAAAGCAAAAAGAATACAAAGAGAAAGTATAAATTTGTAACCAACAGCCATGGAAAAGGAAATGAAGAAAATTCTATCAGACTAGCCAAAAGCAAGAAAGAAAAGAGAAGCAAAGAAAAAGGACAAAACATAAATTAACAAGATAGAACTCATCTTTATATCAATAACAGCAATAAGTATAAGTGCATTATTACCTATAAAAGGGAAAGACAACTCCTAAGTTAAAAAAAATACCTAATTATCACTCAAATACACTGAAAGCAAAAAGGACAATTAATTGAAAATATTAGTAGAAAAAGAAATCTCAGGCAACTAGTCACAAAAAGAAAGTTGATTTAGCATTAATCCTTTCTTCTTTTAAATTCTAATACTAATAAGAATAAAAAAGTATACCATATACTAGTAAAAGTATCCACCAAAAGGATATGATAATCATACAACAAGGAGAAACAGATAAAACTATAATGGCAGTGAGAGATTTTGATACTTTGTAGGAATATTATAGTCTTCAATGCAATCATTTAGGAAAAGATACTAAAATAAATGAACCTAACATTCAATAAAAGAAGGAACAGAAGAAAACAACTCAAAGAAAGAAGACATTAAAGTTGATTTTTATTTTTATTTTGTAAAGACATCAAATTTGTTTCCATTTGTATTCACATGTTGTTAATGCCATTAAGATCTTATATATTATTAAATATACTGGAATAATTCAAAAATCAAAACTATTAGTTCTGTAAATCTGATGGTGGGGTGTGTGTGTGTGTGTGTGTGTGTGTGTGTGTGTGTGTGTGTGTGTGTGTTTTGGTAAATATTTATTAAGTGCCTATTAAATGGTCAGGATAAAATGTTCATGTCAAGAAAATAAATATTTAGAACCAATACACATGCACACACGCACACACATACATGCACAGTGGAAGATTTCTTTCTCCTTGTAATTGAAAAAAAAATCAAATCAAGCATTCACTTAACATTATACAGCTATTATTATCCAAGTAAATTAAACTAACATACTGCATGAGTAATAAAAAGAAAGTATTTCCTAATACTTGTACCTTAACCTTTGGGTCTATAAATGAATGAATAAAGATGTATATACCATGTAGCCAGCTGCTAAGTCAGTATGTTCTCCAGCAATCTGAATACATGCTTCAAGCTCAACTCAGTATGTACAGAATACAAAATGGAAACAAAGAGGGCAAGTTCTTTCTTAATCCTAAAAAACCGACATAGGAAATTGCCTGAATAATCAGCTCTGTAAATTAGATTATTCTAACAGTCACATGGCAAATTATCATGTCTGCCTTTCTCTAAGATGTTACATCTTTTTTGTTAAAAAAAAGATTTTTAACTGCTACATGGCCACATAGTCCTTAGAACTTTTTTACATTACCAAATAACTTTTTAAATTAATTTTAAGGTTCCTTAGCACATTGTACTCAAATACTCAAGTTTCACTATATTTTTAATGTAAGAGGTTTAACTCTAAGAACAATTACTTTAGTTCAACAGATACCCACCAAAAACGGTGCTCAAAAGGCAAAGGGAGGTCAAAGGCCACCACCTGGTCCTAGGCCAGAGACCCCCTGGGCTTTCTGGCCATGTGGCTCGCTCTTTATCTCAAGGTGTGGAAAGCCTCCCAGCTTCTCTCACTTCAAACTCAAAAAGCTCCATCTAGTCTTAGTTCCCAAGCACACACCTTCACTCTCCATTCATGAGGTTCCATTTGTTCTGCTTTCCCAGTCCTCACACAAGTATCTTCAGAATGTGTCATGGACTTAATGACGTGGAAAATAAGGATAATAATAACACCAAGTCATGCAGAAAGATCTTTGCAATTTACACGAGACATAAAGAGAAGGGTTAACGCACACATCGTTTCTCTTAGCATGATATTCAAAACCACCAGCAGCTGAATCGACATTTTTATTTTCTACGTCACTGGCCATAGACAGAAACTTGTTGTGAATCTCAGTTTTGTAATTTGTACATGTTATCAGAAAAATTGTTTTAATTTTAGCATGAACATTTCCTAAAGTGCTCACAGCCACTCTCAAAACTTCCTGGGAATTCCTCCCAGTGCCTGGTTTGGATAATGCTGATGGATACAGAGCAAAGTGAACTTCATAGAACCCAGTGTCTGTGGATGAGGCAGCCAGCTGCCAGAGCAATAGAGAAGTGGGATGTCAGTGCATATTAATCAAGCCGAAATTATATACTTTGTAACTTGACTATTACAGCTTCATTAGTTTATTGAATATTGCCCACATGAAGACCTTTGTACTAATTCTGAGATGTTACCAAGAAATAGGAAATGAGGTAAATACATTTTCCAAGGAACACAGATCATATAAGAAATAATAATATCAAAGAAAATATACCAAAAAATCCCCCAGAAATTATGGAATACATTTTAGCATGTACATAATCAAAAGCATAATGGTAAACTAAGAACAGGAACCAGAGAATATAGTTTGAAACAAGATCATTGTGTCTAAATGGCTCCATGAAGAAGAGGACCCTGGCTGGTACTCTGGAAGTTGTAGCATTCTGATCTTATGAAGCGAGGGAGAATGAAGTCCTTGGAGAAAAACGTGGAACAGGTGGACACAGCCAGAGGAAGGAGCGAACACATTTTGGGCAAGGACATTCTCTGTGTGAGACTGGCTGCATGGGCAGAACAAGTGAAGGTAATGGGAGAAAAAAGGCAGCCAGATATAGAGAGATTCACAGGTAGAAAGCTCTGCAACCCAGGGCTTAATTAATATTTTCTTTTCCTTTGAGTTTAGCATGCTCAGAAAGGGGCTAAGGTGATTTTATTTTAAAGCAGGGAATTTGAAAGATTTTTATTTGAATATATAAAATATGCAGAGATGGAGGGAGAAATTCTTGCAAGTCCAGGAGAAAAGTGTTAGGGTTTGGAATAGGAAGAGAAATCATCAACATAATGATAAGCATATTTGGCAGGAGTGAGAAACAACAGCAGAACTTACTGCTCTATGAACATGGCAGCTAAAGGCAAGGAAGATTCTTCCAGAAACAAATGTAAGGAAATAGCAGAGTACAAGACAGTTATTAGAAAACAGGGTAAATAGCATGTAATAATACAGACACAGCAAGAAGCCATAAATTTACATTTCATAAAGTTTATGAAAAGTTTTTATTAAAAATATATTTTTAACGGAAAGTAAAAACTTCACAAAATGATCTGCAAAATTTGAACATGTACAGTAGAAGAAAATGGAGGTTTTGTCATATTAATCAAATTGGCTTTCTATCATGATACAATATATAAACTCATTGCCACTGCAGAGTCCTGTTCTTCTACACTTTTGGACTCTTAAAAAAATTCTAGTGTCTATAGTTCTTTGAACAAAGGTTTAAAAAAAGCTTCAAAACTTTAAAGAAAAACAGAACTCTTGGCGAAAGCTACTATTAAAGGGCCCGCCTTAAAAAAATCTAGCTTGTAAAACAATATCTTACATATTTCAATGAATTCTGATTTAGATCTCCATTTTAGCTTCTTTGAACAAACATCTTTATGTGTAAAATGAATACTTTTGTTCACACAAACAGCGCCTCATTCCATTTAGTTTAATTCATAAGACTGCTTAGCATATGACATTGATATAAACTCACCTTATAAGATTAAAAGAAGCACAGACAAGTTCACTTAAGTTAAATATGTTTTAAGTTTCTCTAAGTGAAGAAAAGCTAAACACATTTTTAAACCCTAAATCATTTAGCTTCTGCAATTATCTCATCTACCAGAACTCTAAAATCAATTTGACTGGACTTTCATTTATGCTTTATAATAGGAAAAAATGACACATTTCCAAATTTAATTAACCAAAACAAAAATTCTTAGGACACCCCATGTAATTCTGAGTGGACTAAACAATACATCTTCGTCGCTCAGGACAAAAGGTCATTTGGAAGGGATGTACCTTTAAGGGTTTACAAAGGCTTGATCTTCAGTCTTGTAACGAAAGAGGAAGCACATCTCAGCAGAGGAAGGATGCCCACTTTAAATAAGGAAATGGGCTTGCAGGATGCACACATGCTGCTTTCTATTAATGATAAGCACAGTCTACAAAAAGAGCCTCAGAATGCTTTAACTTTCATGTAGAATACCTGCAGAGAATGTCTAACATAAACAAAACGACAAGTAATGTGTCCACTCACCGTTTTATGAAATGATTTATGTGTTCATAATAGAGGCTAGTAAATACTAACGACTATATTCCAGTTAACAGCTGTAATTACTGGTGTGATGATTGTATGCCAGGATCCATGCCAATAATGTTTTGGGAGCAAAGCATACTTTAGGGGTTTATGAGGATGATTATACAAGATAGATGGCTCTGCTGGGTGATTTTTTTTCTTTCTTTCTTTTTTTTTTAACCAGAGGGAATGAGATGGCAGAAATTAAGACCTTTACCATACCTTTTTTAAAAAATAGATAATTATATATGTTTAAGAACTGGAAAGCATTTTGTTAAAGTTTAATCTCTTTCAAGACAGAAAGTAAATCCAATCAAAATCCCAGCAAATATTAATCTAAATTTAATTGTGGACATCACCTTTTGGCTTCTTCCATCTCTGCCTGTGTCTGTGTGTGTCTGTCTCTCACACACATATATTTACACACACACCCTAACCAGATATTTTGCAACTACATTAAAATAAATCATAACCTTTATTTAATTACTCAGCAGGTGACTGTCCGGTTTGTCAACCTGCCCTGTCTCTGACTCCCCTCAAATTCCTTCTCACCACCTATCAGTAATCCTTGGGGCATTCTGCTATTTCTTAACACCTCAACTAAGAGATATTAAAAGCAGATAAATTATCTACCTGGCAAAAATTTACTGCAAATTGTCCAGGGTATTGGTAATTTCCCAGAATTATGTCTGCATTGACAGGACAGTTTTGCCAACTGCACCTGCAGTCCAGCCCAACCTCTCCTCCCAGTATAAGTGGCAAACTTAAAAAGGCTGGAAACACTTTGCTCATTTTACAAGACTTGTGTCAGGCATCACTTCTATTATGAAATAATCTTGAATTGTGTTCTGGAGGGATCTGGGGC